>NC_000012.12:34108626-34261321 GCF_000001405.40 Homo sapiens
TGCACAGCGAGGTGGGGCGCAGGCTTCTGTTGCACAGCATGCGGCTTCAGCTGGGACTGTGCTCGGGCTCCGAGGGGGTATCGGTGCCGGAGGCGATATCAGAGAGGCTTCAGCAAGAAGGAGCCGCGGATCTGACGCCTGGGGTGTGAGTTGGTCATTTTCAGGTGGAAGAGGGCAGGACCGAATTGCAGGTGGAGAAGGCTGTGTGTGCGCACACCTGGGGGTGAAGGGGACGCAGCCTGTCTACCTGGCCCATGAAATGCGGGAGCAGCGGGTTCACAGCTCCATTGATTAAGCAAGTCTGGGACACACATGTAGCTAAGCTGAGTTCTGTGCCAAGGGTCCCAACACCCACTCCCCCAGGAAGACACAGGTTTGGAGGTTGGGTGCTTGTCAGGCCTAAGAATGGAGAGCAGGGGCCAGAAACACCAAGTAGGGGGAACCCACACTAGGGCTCTGAGGGACGACGATGTGGGGAGCTGGTGGCAGAGCCTGAGCTGGCCCAAGGTTGCAGGGTGGGGAGAGATTCAAGGCATAGCGGGGACTGGTGACCTCAGTTCCCAGAATGTCCCAGCCTGGCCTCCCGGTCCAGCCAGCAAGTACAGGGTGCTGCCCTGTAAAGACTCTGGGGGTGCCTCAGCTCCCCTCACCACACTTGACGGGTGACTTCTGTGTCCACCCTCACAAGAAGAGGTATCTTCTCTCACTTTCAGGCAAGCCCAGGAAAGTCAGGGGCCTGCGTGAACCAAAGAGGAGAGAAGGCGATGACCTCAGCCCAGTGTTTCTGCCTCACCTGGCTTATGGCCTTGGGGACTTGATTTGCACCGCAGGAAAATGGGCAATGAAAGCCCCTCCCTGACTGGCTTCTCACTCCACTGTGCCCAGCCCACAGCACAATGCCCACCCTGCAGCTCCTGGTACAGCCTGCGTACCTGCAGCTCCAGGTACAGAGGCTGTGCTGGCTCTGGGCTGACCTCAGGACCTTCTGATGGTTGGAACCCTCGGGATGCCTCATGTTCACCCTTTGGCACCCACCTGACAGCTCAGCATGTCTGCTGTATGACATCTTCAATGCCTGCTCTAGACAAGCCCAAGTTCCCCCGGAGTGGCAGAGGGAACTGAGCTGGAAACTAAGTCCCGACTCACTGAACCCCAAGTGGGCTCTCCAGCCTACCCCTTCAGTTCACAACTCCAGGCAAGTTCCCTCCAGGGATGTGATCCCAGGGGCCACAGCAGCACATTCTGGCCTATCCTATTCACTACTTAATTAACAGTTACTGAAAAGGCCAGGATGGGCATGGGCCCTGACATTAATCCCCTTTCTCTGTGATGGGGCTGGGTTGGGTTTGACATCCTGATGTCTTTGTGGAAAGAGCTGGCAGGTAGAGCAAGTCTTAGGGGCCAGCCATGGGACAGGGAACCTAGGATTCGCCTATGCTGGAACCCTCTGAGGCCCATGCAGTCAGGAGAGTCCAATGGAGGTCCAGCCACTTCTCCCAGGTTGGTGCTCACAACCCCTCCTGGATCACTCCCTCTACACCTGCACCTGCTGGTCTCTGGGAGAGGAGCATCCATCGATCTTGTGTGTAGGGAGACCCCCTGAAACTATTGCTATGGAATAAAAGATAAAATGCTCCTGATTATTGTAAATACAAAATTGTATGCAGGATTGTGTAAAGACAATGCCAGGCTGGACTGCCAGAACCAGCCAACATCACGTGATGTGCTTCCCCCTGCAGAGAGCCTATGAATGGACGTGCAGTCAGGGAGGTTTCACATCACCAAGATTCCTATCCCAGAAAAGCAGATGTTCATAGCTCTGGGAATGGAATGCGACCCTTGTGGGAAGCCTATAAACGGACGCATTGGGGGGCGCCTGTCCATATGGATAAGATAGGGCTATAAACGCCCTCATCTTGCCACGGCTCTTCTAGGCCTCTTTAGGGTTAAAGCATACTCCCTTCTGAGAATTTCTGGTCTAACCGGTTGTCTAGCTTCATGTCCTGTTTCCATGGATTGTTTGTAACCAGCTTTTGTTGCAATTGTTACTGCTGATTAATATCTTGCTAATCATAGGTTATGGAAAGACTGTGTTTCTGTTCTAAGGCTCTGTTAGAAATTACTGACGCACACACTATATTGTAAATTCTTATCTCTACATACAATTCTTATTCTTATTCTACACACAAATGTACTCTACTTCTACATACAAATGTTATGTTAAAGAACTACTTCATCCCCATGTGACCATCTCACCTCATAATCAAATGACCCTAAATCCCTCACTAACCTACCCCCGCCCTCACTAAACTTAATAATAAATGCTGGTTTATCCAGTGCATTGTTAGCACCGCGGAACCAGAAGGCGGTGACCCCCCTGGACCCAGCTTTCACTATCTTGTGTGTGTCTATTATTTCTCAACCTGCTGATCTGCCTGGGAACAAAGAGAGAGCCCCCTTGCCTTGTGGGCTGCTGGCTAGATCCCTCAGTACTTGTGCGCATAGCTTTCTCCTCCATTTCGATGAGTATGGTCTCCTTGGCAGAAATGCCCAGTAGGGGATCCTGAGCCTGTGCTGGCTGTTCTCTAAGTGGCAAAGTCAGTGAGAGAGACTTGAAAACTCCAGACTTATTATTTTCTGCATTTTATGCTTTCAGGCTTGCTTTTTCCTTAAAATGTGTAAAAACAAATACTGAGATTTCTTTTATATAATTTGGATTCTATCATCATATGGACTTTTCATTTTCCTGAAATTTATTTGTATGTATGTATATCAAACATTGAATTTCTCTTTTCTCCTTTACTGAAATGTTAACTGTTTTAGAGGCCAAATCTTTTTTTAAAAAAAATCCCTCCCATCCTGGCTAACACGGTGAAACCCCATCTCTAATAAAAAAAAAATACAAAATATTACCCGGGCATGGTGGCGGGTGCCTGTAGTCTCAGCTACTCGGGAGGTTGAGGCAGGAGAATGGCGTGAACCCAGGAGGCGGAGCTTGCAGTGAGCCGAGATCGCGCTGCTGCACTCCAGCCTGGGTGACAGAGCGAGACCTCGTCTCAAACAAACAAACCAACAAACTAACAAACAAAAAAATCCCTCTAATTTCTGTAAACATTTCTAATTTCATATATATTTTTTATACCTAATACACTACTTTGGAATTCCTTGAGGCCTAATGGCATCGGGGTGTTCTAGTTTTGTTATTGTTATTTCTGAATGACATTGACTTTGGTGCTCTTCATTTTGCATATTTAAAAGTATTAGATTGTGTGATTATATTTGACAGGTCTTGATGTGCTGTTTAGTGCTTTGGGTTGAGCTTTGGGTTCAGTTGAAATTTGGGTTGGATAATTTTCTTCCACAGGGGATTGTCTTGGATTTTTCTGTTTCTTCCTCAATATCCACCTGGAAAACTTTTGAATTAATTTATATTCACTTAAATATTTCTGTGCAAAAACTGTGTACAAAAGCCCCAAAGTATAATTTGCGCAGTTGAGCACATATTCTGTTTTCCAGCATTTATGGCGGTTTGTAGTGGAAAAGATTTTTAGAATATGTGGATTTTCGGAATATTCCCAGAAGCCCAGATAGCCACACTTTACCTTTGAAGGAATTGATTCGCAGAATACTGCACACAATCACCTTTGGAAGGAGCATATATCTCAACAAAAGTTCTGATTTTTTGAAGTCTGTATTGTGTGTTATTTCCAGGAGAATACAGCAATGATGGCAATGTTATCAAATGATTCAAATATGTAATGCTGTTATGCCTAACATAAGGATTCTATGTGATCATGCCTTTTGGCTGAGGACAATACCCCTGTCTTCTTGGAATTATTGATAATTAGATTCTAACTGCTAATAAGTCAGAAAATTAGGAACACCAAATTTCAGTCTTCTCAAGAGCAATCCTCTTATTAAATTTGAATCTTTACCTTTATCACATGCAAAAGAAATATTGTTAGAAAAGTGTTTAATGTTTTCCATATGGAGAGATTACTATTAGTTATAATTTCATTGTTAATCTTTAAAACCATAGAGTTGGAAGTATCAAAATGTCTTTCAATATACCTTAGTGGAATTTATTAAATTTTCATGGATGTTCTTTAGGAGGTTGAAGAAGTTATTTCTATTGCTAGATTTCTGGAGGATTTATCAGGAATGAGTGTCAGACTTTGTCAGATGTCCATTTAAATCATCATGGTCTTTTCCTTTATTCTATTAATATGGTGTATTACACTGATTGATTTTTAAATTTGTATTGATAAGATAATTCCACTTGGTTATATTGTCTAAATTTTTTCTAATTTTCCTTAATTTTTATTACAGATGAGGCCTCACTTTGTCACCCAGATTGGGGTGGAGTGGCACAGTCACAGCTCACTATAACCTCAAACTCCTGGGCTCAAGTGATCCTGCCACCTCAGCCTCCTAAGTAGCTGGGACTACAGGTGTGCACCACAATGCCAGGCTTGTCTAACATTTTTGTGTGTTGCTTCATCCAGTTTGCTAGAGTTTTTGGAGATTTCTGTCTTTATTCATGAGAGATAATAGTCTGCACATTTATTTTCTTGTGATGCTTTCATCTAATTTGTTATCCGGGTAATACTGGCCTCAGAAATGAATTGATGTTTTCCTGCTTCTCTGTTTTGCAAGTGTTTGTGAAGGATTGATTATTCATGAAGTGTTTAATAGAATTCACTAGTAAAGCTATGTGAGCCTGGGCTAGACTGATGAAGAGTTTTCACTAGTCTAATCTATTTTCTTGTTGTATGAGTATGCATATATTCGATTTCTTCTTGAGTTTACTTTTACAATTTGTGTATAGCAGGGAATTTGTTTCTAATTTGTAGTGTTTCATGCTTCTAGGTTTTCATGGCAGTTGAGATGTAAGAATAAATATAATGTTGGGCGAAAGAAGTTGTGGACAATCCGTAAATATCCCAACATCTCTTGCAGGAAGGTTAAGATTATTTTTCTTGCTGTACTTAATACTCATATTTATAGTGTGAGACAAATGTAATGTTGAATATATATAGAACTAGGAAAATTGCCATTTGTCTTAGTATTTAATCAAGATGGAAGTCTGGGCCTACCTCCTCTCTTCTATTAATATGTAGACAGGACACCAACAAAATTTGAATAAGGACAAACAAAGTGTTAGGAAATGAAGAGTGGAATGAATGGGTTAAAATGTGATGAAACAGAGTGGTGAATATTTACATAGAATCCATGATGTGCTAGGCACTATTTCAAGCTATTTGCTCATACACTTTTAATACCAATGACATTAAAATGTATAACAGAAAGATTCATATAAATAAAAATTACAACATTGAAAATAATATTAGGTGACACTAAAACTGTCATGGAAATACACATTTATATAAAACATAAAGTAACATCAAGTATTAAATAAATTTTAGAAAGTTTGATTACTAATCAGATGAATAAGTGATTAGCCTTTTTATCCAGTAAACAAGGCATACACATTATTTTTCAAATTCCAGAGACAAATATTTTAAATATTGAAGTTTAAGACCTAAAAATGTATCATTGGCTTCATGGAAGTAGATATTCACTAGGTGATATTTTCTAGGCTCTCTGAAATTACATCAGAAATATGTGAATTAGAATATAACCCATAAATAATATCTGGCCACATACAAAGTAATTGAAGATCAATTTAAATAGCCATTGGATTAAGAAATAGAGACTGAGGTAAATTTACAGGGTCAGGGAGGATTTAAGGAGGAAGCACTGACACTGGAGCCCAAGGACCTGGGATTACAGAACAGATTCTACCAGTGCTAACTGACTGCTCCAGAGAAAACATCAATTCTGTTCATGTGCAGCTACTATTCATCAAGAAAGGGATTACAACTTCAGAAATGTGTTCAAAGTGTATCCATACTTTGATGTATTAATGAAGTAATCACATTCTACACATAAGTACTCCATATGGAATATTGGGGAGGGGGTGTTCCAAATAAAGAGATTGAGGATTTTTCATGAGAACTCAGTGTCTGCTAGAAAATATCTAAGTAAAATATTTTACTTAAGTGGAAAGTGTGGATGTTTGTGCATCAAAAGTTTCAAGAATCCCTAAAATATACAATGGAGATGAGGAGAAAATATCAGAATTCCCCAGCACCAGAAATGAGGTAAGAAAAAATTCAGAGGAGTTGTAAATGTGAAAAGCCAATGGCTGGTCACACAGCAGTATTGATAATCTTGTGCCAGGACAACTAGAATAAATACATAAACATACACATTGAAAAGATTTCCAATATTAGATCTCCCTCATGTGAGAACTAAATTATAAAGATTGAAGCATATAAGAAAATAAGCTACCAGAATTTAAACTACCAGAATAAATTAGATTACACATAAATTTCTGATATTGAAATTGTCACAAATGTTTAAGTTGGTAGTGAAAGATAAAGGAAATATAATCTTGGGAATCCTAGGGCCCTGCCCACTGCCTGTCCCTCTCCACACTACTACAGCTGATGCTTTCTGGAAAGTACCACCTCCTGGCAAGAGGCCAACCAGCACAAATATAGAGCCTTAAACCACCAAAGCTAAGGACCCTCACAGAGTCTACTGCACCCTTCACCACTTCCACTGGAACAGGCACTGGGATCCATGGTTGAGAGACCCATAGATGGCTCACATCACAGGACTCTGTGCAGACAACCCCTAGCACCATCCCAAAGCCAGGTAGACCTGATGGGTGGCTAGACCCAGAAGAGAGACAACAATCAATGCACTTCAGCTTGCAGGAAGCCACACCCATAGGAAAAGGGGGAGTGCACTATGTCAAGGGAACACCCCGTGGGACAAAAGAGTCTGAACAACAGTCTTCAGCCCTAGACCTTTCCTCTGACAGAGGCTACTCAAATGAGAAGGAACCAGAAAACCAACCCTGGTAATCTGACAAAACAAGGCTCTTCAACACCCCCCCAAAAATCACACTAGTTCATCACCAGTGGATCCAAACCAAGAAGAAACCCCCGATTAATCTGAAAAATAATTCAGGTTAGGTATTAAGCTAATCAGGGAGAGGCTAGAGAAAGGCAAAGCCCAATGCAAGAAAATCCAATAAAATGATGCAAGAAGTGAAGGGAGAAATATTCAAGGAAGTAGATAGCTTAAAGAAAAAAACAATAAAAAATTCAGGAAACTTTGGATGCACTTTTAGAAATGTGAAATGCTCTGGAAAGTCTCAGCAATAGAATTGAACAAGTAGAAGAAAGAAATTCAGAGTTTGAAGACAAGGTCTTTGAATTAACTCAATCCAATAAAGGCAAAGAAAAAAGAATAAGAAAATATGAGCAAAGCCTCCAAGGAGTCTGGCATTCTGTTAAATGATGAAACCTAAGAATAATCGAGGTACCTGAGGAAGAAGTGAATTCTAAAAGCCGGGAAAACATATTTGGGGGAATAAAAAAGGAAAACTTCTCTGGCCTTGTGAGAGGCCTAGACATCCAAATACAAGAAGCACAAAGAACACCTGGGGAATTCATCACAAAAAGATCTTAGCCTAGGCACATTTTCATTAGGTTTTCCAAAGTTAAGACAAAGGAAAGAATCTTAAGATGTGAGACAGAAGCACTAGGTAAGCTATAAATTAAAACCTATCAAATTAACAGCAGATTTTTCAGCAGAAACCTTACAAGCTAGATGGGATTGGGGCCCTTTCTCCAGCCTCCTCAAACAAAACAATCATCAGCCAAGAATTTTGTATCCACGAAAACTAAGCATCATACAGGAAGAAAAGATACAGTCATTTTCAGACAAACAAATGCTGACAGAATTCACCATTACCAAACCAGCACTGTAAAAACTGCTAAAAGGAGCTCTAAATCTTGAAGCAAGTCCTGGAAACACATCAAAACAGAACCTCGTTGAAGCATAAATCACACAGAACCTATAAAACAAAAATACAAGTTAAAAAGCAAAAACAAAAAATGAAAACAACGTACAGAGGCAACAAAGAGCATGATGAAAGCAATGGCACCTCAAATTTTAATACTAACGTTGGATGTAAATGGCCTAAATGCTCCACTTACAAAGTGCAGAACCACAGAATGGATAAGAACTCACCAACTAACTATCTGCTGCCTTCAGTAGACTCACCTAACACATAAGGACTTACATAAACTTAAGGAAAGTGGTAGAAAAAGGCATTTCATGCAAATGGACACCAAAGGTGAGCAGTGGTAGCTATTCTTATATGAGACAAAAGAAAGTTTAAAGCAACAGTAGCTAAAAGAGACAAAGAGAGACAGTGTATAATGAATGGTAAAAGGTCTCGTCCAAAAGAAAAATGTGACAATCCTAAACATATATGCACCTAACACTGGAGCTTCCAAATTTATAAAGTAATTACTAGTAGACATAAGAAATGAGATAAACAGCAACACAATAATAGTGGGGGACTTCAATACTCCACTGACAGCACTAGACAGGTCATCAAGACAGAAAGTCAACAGAGAAACAATGTATTTAAACTACACCTTGGAATAAATGGACTTAACACATATATACAAAACATTTCATCCAACAACCACAGAATACACATTCTATTAAACAGCACATGGAACTTTCTCCAAGACAGACCATATGATAGGCCATAAAAAGGTTCTCAATAAATTTAGGAAAATTGAAATTGTATCATGCACTCTCTCAGATCACAGTGGAATAAAACTGAAAATCAACTCCAAAAGGAATCTTCAAAACCATGCAAATACATGGAAATTAAATAACCTGCTTCTGAATGAGCATTGGGTCAAAAACAAAATTGAGATGGAAATTTAAAAAAATTCTTTGGACTGAATGACAATAATGACACAATCCTCAAGACCTCTGTGATACAGCAAAGGCGGTGCTAAGAGAAAAATTTATAGCCCTAAACACCTACATCAAAAAGTCTGAAAGAGCACAAACAGGCAATCTAAGGTCACACCTCAAGGAACTAGAGAACCAGGAACAAGACAAACCCAAACCCAGCAAACAAAGGAAATAACCAAGATCAGAGCAGAACTAAATAGAATTGACAAAACAACAACAACAACAAAATACAAAAAATAAATAAAACAAAAAGTTGGTGTTGTGGGATAATTTAGGAATCAGAGAGAAAGAGGGGTTGAGGAGGATTGATTATTATTATTATTATTTAGGCGTACTGGCCCAGTCAGATTAACATTCAAAAAAAACTGAGCCCTGAACAAAGAGTCAAGTTACCTTTTAAGCATTTTGTGGGGTGGGGGGAGATCTGTGCAGGGGGAAGCATATTACAGAAGAGAGAAACAAAGACAGTTATTCAATTGAGACTTGCATTACATCATTTCTTACCTTTCAAGAAAAAACATGTTTATGACTTGAGTTTTTCTGTCTAGTGACCTTGCAGCTGCACGGCTAGAGAAACAGGGTCTTCACAATGCCTGGGAAAGGGAGAGATAAGGCTCACTAGCCACAGACAGAAAAACAGGCAGTTAATTTTTAAAGGATTCCACCTCTTTCTTGACCTCAGGGGGAATTGGGTTTTCTTACATACAACTGAGTTTTTCCTTACACATCCTTTAATTTCTCTTAATTCCTCTTCCATTTCCTGCCTTTAGTGCTTTTGATAACAAAGGTGTTAATAGAAAGCACCACTTTATGTCACCTTTTTGTGGAGCTGAGCTTCTTCTTTTACTGGCAGTGGCTGATATTTGGTTAATGCCATCAACTGTGCGATAGGATAGTGTATCGGGTTACTACTGTCTCTATAGTTGACTGAATGCTCCTAATAAACAGAGGTAAAAGGCAAGGCAGGATGAGGCAGATGCCAAGAATAAACAAAAACCCACCAATGAGGGTTTTGAATTCTCCAAAAGTTGAGAAGCATTTTCCAAACGAGGAATCCAGGGACCATCCAGACCAAGTCTGAACTGGAACATGGGCCAACTTGTGCATTTTAGCTGTGATTTTTATGACAGCTCGGCCATTATTATCAATTTCTAGGCAACAGTTGGTTAAATTAAATTTTTACTTACTTTTTTGAGACTAAGAGATAATCTAAAGTCAATTTATTTTGATATATAGCATTTTTTTGTGTTGCTTGTATTGTCAATAAATTTAGTGCCCTTGACATTTTATTGGTTATAATTTCTAGGACAGCCTGTAACCTTATGATGCGGTTGAGCACATAGATTGGGGTATGGTACCCCCATGACCCATCTTGCACCTGGGTAGCTGGCCCATAATATTTAGTGATTTTTTTCTGGAGGCCATTTATTATCTTTTTAGTCTTCTATGTTTACTTTTTTTTTGACATTTGTGTTTATTTTTGTGATTATGGTTTTTTTAGTTTTATTTTTTTTTTAATTTTTATTATAAACTGGATACCCTAAGAATTCCCCTTTCGTTAGAGGAATTAAAAAGAAGGATGGCTTGATTGTTTCTAACACACATGTCCTTGTCCATGTAGCCAGCAGTTGCCGATATGCCCATGCTTCACAGATCCAATATAGGCCAGAGGGTGCTTTCCAAGCATTTGGAGCCTGTAGCTGATGCCAAGTGTGGCTTAGGGTAGAGAATCGAGAAAAGGGATTTGGATCTGGTAAGTAAGAGTCCTTCTGGGCATTTCTCCATAGAGTTTTGTTTTTAGTCTTATCATAATACTGTTGTCCTAGGCAGGTTGTTTTTTCTACTGTCTCTGTGAAAGTCTTTCCCCATCAGGCAATACTGTACTTTCCAATTATGGAGGTTTTTAACAACCGAACACTGGCTGAGGCTGTTGGTTCACTGGCACGGTTAGGCAAAGTGAAGTTATCTTGCGGCATTAATTTCTTAGCCTCCCATAGCAACTCGTCCCCCATATTAGTTTTTTCACACACGTAGCATGAGGAAATTACTAAGCTGCCAGCTATGTTTTTAGTTAGTTGAGTAAATAAGTTTTTGATTGATGGAGGAAGCTGTCACTGACTGATTAAAATGCTTATAGAATGACTTATAAACCCAGAATTGCAGGGTTGGATGCATTTGAGTCCTTCTAGTCTTTTTGGCAATTAGTAGTGGAACTCCAAGGCCTGCTCCTTGTCTATTAACCCATAATAGTGCTGTCTGTCCTGTAGGCCAAAAAGATAGCTCTGGCTTTAGAAGAGTAAAATTTAAAGGATTGCGTGTCCTTGTCTTAGAATTTGCTTTGGTTGACATACTATGTAGCAGAGCAGTCCTTCCTGAATATAAGTGTTGGAGTTGTGTTAGCATAGACCACTGAATGTTACAGTCTGGACATCTGATTTGTGTTTTTTCATACCTATGTTTAGGGCTGCTTCTGCTAAGCCTCTTTTGTGTTAAACCATTGGAGACAGCTTCTGTTTTTTTAGGATTAGGAACATATGCAGCATGGCAGGAATTAAAGTACAAGGAAATAGGCCCTTTATAGGAGGGAGAGGCTTCTTTGGTTTGAGGTATAAGTTTCTTTTTTTCTTTTCTGATTTAATATGTACCTCAAACCAGAATTCATAAGGTAAGAGCTCAGGGTCATAACATACATATAGCTGATTATTTCCTCAGTCACAGAGTGAATAGGTGGTCTGGTTGTATGTGCATGTTCCTAACTTGGTTTCTGTACATTCATAGTAGGTATGGCACAGTAGAGTTTTAACTATGATATTTTTTACCTAGGTAGTGTGTACACAGTGTGGGCATCCGTCTAAAGATTTTTCCCCTTCTAGTATAGGCAGAAATGGTAACAACATCAGTGTATGTATTAGAAACATGCTTACACTACGCATGAGCACGGCAAACCTTCCTCTGGGCATAGACATTTGCAGCATTTGCAGTAATAACATAACAACATAAAAATCAGTATTAACAGAATTATAACTAGGGTTATAAATTGTATTCATATTTACTTATTCAGTGATGGCCCTCTTAGCTTCGGCTGTGTGTGGACTAGTCAGATTCCAGGATGTGACTAGAGCAGAGCTTGCAGGATTCTCAAGCTTCAGCTCTGGGTAGACTGACCAGTCTCCAGTGTGGTCAGAGCAAGGCAATTGTCCTTCTTACTGGTGGTTGGGTTTCGCCGTAGGCCCATTCGGGTGGGGTGATCTGGGTCTTGTTGGCTAATCCAATGGTCATCATTGGGAGTCACTGCTGCCACTGGTTTCAGTCGGCTATGGTGAATCCAAGGTGTGACAGCTGTAACTTTAAAAGCAGTAGGAGTAGACATGATTATAATATGGGGCCCATCCCATAAGGGCCCCAGGGTTGTTGAATTTCACCTTTTAACCCAGACAGAGTCCCCCGGCTTATGTGGATGCACTGGGTCTGTTAGACTTACAGGTATTCTTTTTCTTATCCAGCTTTGCCCCTCCTGCATTGTTACTCCTAAAGCCTGCATCTGTCTTCTAAGAATTAACTTTTCTAACTACTTTAAATTCCCTCTAATTTGATTAATAATTGGGGGTGGCCTTCCGAACAATATTTTATAGAGCAAATACCCAGTTTGTTTTGTAGGTGTACACCTGACCTGGAGGAGGACCATGGGCAAGACATGATCCCATCGTGAGTTTCCTGGCAAAACTTTTTTAGTAGCTGTTTGAGTGTCCAGTTCATCCATTTTACCTTCCCTGAGCTCTGTGGTCAGTAGTCTGTATGCAGTTTCCATCTGATCTTTAAAAGTTGAGTCAGCTGTTGTACTACATCTGCCACAAATGCAGGACCATTGTCTGATCCTAGGGTTAAAAGAAACCCAAATCTTGGTATGATGTCTTTTAGTAGTACCTTTGTCACCTCTCTTGTCTTTTTAGTCCTGGTGGAGAAGGCCTCAATCCACCCCAAGCAGGTGTAAACAAACATTAGCATATATTGGTAACCTCCTGCTAGAGGTAACTCAGTAAAGTTTACAAGCAGGTTTTCACAAGGCACAGCCCCTACTTCCTGAATTCCTGGAGGTCGAGTAGGTCCTTGTTTTGGATTATTCTGGGCACAGGATAGACCTTGTTTACAAACAGTACAGGTGATGGCAGAGAGCTGTGGCACATAGAAATGCCAACCTATCAAAGTTTCTAGGGCTGTCCTTCCAATGTGT
This sequence comes from Homo sapiens, assembly GCF_000001405.40. Classification (NCBI taxonomy): domain Eukaryota; kingdom Metazoa; phylum Chordata; class Mammalia; order Primates; family Hominidae; genus Homo; species Homo sapiens. The sequence goes on from NC_000012.12 coordinate 34,121,714, forward strand.
GTTCCTTGATGGATCTGTGTCACAAACCTTGGGGCTATTGTCCCTGGGATGGCTAGCCTCCTGTTAGAGAACAGCCACCATCCACCTTTAATATATTTTTTTGTTTTCTGACCAAACCAAGTTTTTTTTACTGAAGAGTAATTGGGTACCTCCAGCAAAGGGGGCTCTATAAGGAGAGGAATTGATAAAGTTTTTTTTTTCAGGTAAAGCCTTGCTCATTGCTGCCCGCCCAGCCTCTCGGTCTACCTTTCTGTTGCCCTGCATCTCAGCTTTTCTCAATTTGGTGTCCTTTGCAATGAATGACAGCCACTTTCTCTGGAGCCCATATGGTTTTTAATAATTGCAATTTTTTTTTTTTTGCCTTTAGTAGTCAAAACTCCTGTCTCTTTGTATATTGTCCAACGGGCATGCAGGATTGTAAAAGTATATCTTGATCAGTATATATGTTTACTTTTTTTCTTGGCCAATAACGGTGCTCTGGTTAATGCTATTAATCTAACCTTCTGAGCAGAAGTCCCAGAAGGTAAGGCCTGAGCCTCAACCACCGAGTGCTGGGTCACTACTGCGCATACCCTGCATATCATACCCCATCTGTTATGAAACTGCTGCCATCAGTGAAGTATTTAACATCTGAGCTCTCCAAGGGGGTATCTCTGAGATCTTCCCAGCTCTAGAACACTTTGTCCACCGTATTTATGCAACAGTGGGGAAGATCCTGCCAGCAGTGAGGCAATCCACCGTCCTTTCAATCAGGTTTCTCCACAGGCAGCAGGGTAGCTGGGTTTAAGGTATTTACAGTCTCTAGTGTTATCTGGGGATTGTCATACAGAAGCCCTTGATACTTTAGCATTTTAGAATTGGACAGTCAACGATGTCCTCTTTGCTCCATTAAGGTGATTACAGCGTGTGGCACCCTAACTATTAACTTTTGACCTAGGGCTAGCTTGTTGGCATCTTCTATAAGGATTGCAGTAGCTGCCAACGCCCTGAAGCAGTGGGTCCAACCTAAGGCCACCAAATCCAGTCTTTGGGTAAGTATGCTACCAGCTGATGCCAAGAACCCAACAATTGAGTTAAGACTCCGACTGTCATTCCCTTTTGTTTATCCACGTACAAAAAGAAGGACTTTTTTTTTACATCTGGCAACACTAGCGTCGGAGCTTGGATGAGAGCTTCCTTTGTATCTTTGAAGGCCTTTTCTTGTTTCTTTTTCCACAGGAGCAGCCCTCTTTTTTTTTCTTCGGTAGTCTCATATAAGGGCCTTGCTATAAGGGAGAAGTTGGGAATCCAGGTTCGGCAGAATCCCGCTGCACCTAGAAATTCCCTGACCTGCCACCTTGTAACTGGGGTGGGCAATGCACATACAGCCTCCTTGCATGCACTTTTAAGTCTGCACTGGCCTTGGAATACCATGAATTCTAGATATTCAATCTCCCGAAAGCAGACTTTTGCCTTGTCCTTGGACACTATGTAACCAGCTTCACGCAGCAAGTGAAGAAGCCTCTCTGTTCCTTAGAGGCATTTCTCCCTCATGGGGGCAGCGAAGAGCAAATCATCAATGTGTTGTAATAGCACACAATTGTCACTAGGTGGCGCAAAAGCCTCAAGGTCGGTAGCCCAAGCCTCCTCGAAAATAGTAGAATTCTTTTTTTATTTTATTTTATTTTTTTAATTATTATTACTATTATTATTATTATTATTATTTTAATTATACTTTAAGTTTTAGGGTACATGTGCACATTGTGCAGGTTAGTTACATATGTATACATGTGCCATGCTGGTGCGCTGCACCCACTAACTCGTCATCTAGCATTAGGTATATCTCCCAATGCTATCCCTCCCCCCTCCCCCCTCCCCACCCCAGTCCCCAGAGTGTGATATTCCCCTTCCTGTGTCCATGTGATCTCATTGTTCAATTCCCACCTAGGAGAATTCTTAAACCCTTGTGGCAGCCTTGTCCAGGTATACTGCGATTGTCTCCACTGGAAGGCAAATATAGGCTGATTTTGGGAAGCAGTCTCAAGGAAAAGAAAGCGTCCTTTAAGTCCAGACACGTGAACCACGCGGCCTCAGCAGGAATCTACCCCAACATTGTGTATAGGTTGGGTACTATGGCATGGATAGTGACAGTGGCTTTGTTTACACCCTGGAGGTCCTGCACTGGCCTGTATTCACCATTTGGCTTGCGAACAGGCAGCAGAGGAGTATTCCAGGAAGACTTGCATTTTACTATAATCACTTGTTTATAGGGCTGATTTAAATGTTTTGTTATGTCATCAATTGCCTCTCTGGGGAGGGGGTATTGACGGACTGGTACCGGGGCAGCATGAGGGTTAAGCTCTACTACCACTGGGGGTCTGTTTGCAGCAAGCCCAGGGGGGGTTGTCCTCAGTCCATACACCTGGTACCTTGAAAAGCATTCCCTACATATTGTGTAGGTCTGGCTCTGGCAGCCTCCTGGTACACAGTTTATAGAGCCGCCATTCCTCAGTTTTTGGGACAGTTAGAGTCAATACCATTGCCTTTGGCTTCCCTATCTCCAGGGTCATATTCCCTTTAGGTGTAAAGGAAATCTGTGCCTGCAGTTTCTGGAGTAAGTCTCTTTCCAACAAGGGCACTGGACAGTTTGGCATGTATAGGAACTCATGCTGTACTTCTTGTCCCCCAATAACACATCTCTTGGATTTGTAAAAAGGTCTCCGTTTTTTGGCCCCAGTAGCCCCTATGATAGTGGCACAATTTTTTGTGGGGGGGGGGGGGCTAATTGGGTGAGTTACCACAGAGAAATCAGCACCAGTATTGACCAAAAATTTCATTAATTGGCCTCCTACTTCCATAGAGACCATAGGCTCCCCGGGGCCTAAAGGATGGAGCCCGGTCTGTCTTAGTCCTCTAAATGCTTGGCCCCCGCTAAGCTGATCAGATCAGGATCTGCCTTTGAAGCACCATGACTAGCAACCGAATGCTGTCCTCGAGTGTTAGACCATTGACTATCATCTTCATTCTTTTTTTTTTTTTATCGGGGCACTCATTTTTCCAGTGGCCGATTTGCCTGAACCTTGTACATTGGTTGCTGTCCAACCGGCACTGGCTTTCCTCTCCCGGTCTTGTCTGCCCTCTTCCTTGGCCTCTGCCTTGGCTATGCCCTCTAGCAAATCCAGGGTTACTTTCTGTTAGTGCAGTAGCTACAAACTGACTTGTCTTTTTGTTTTTATTTTTATTTTTAATTTTTTTTTTATTTTTTTTCTTTCTTTCTGCCTCTTCCTTCCGGTTTACATATATTTTGTTTGCTATTTTCAGGAGTTTACTAATATTTTTTCCTGCAAAGCCTTCTAGCTTCTGAAGCTTTTGTCTTATGTTTCCCTGAGCTTGCCTGACAAAGGTCATATTTATCATAATTTGGTTTTTAGGAGCCTCCAGAATAACTGGAGTGTATAGTCTATATGCCTCACAAAGCCTTTTATAGAATGCACTTGGGCTTTCATCAGGCTTTTGGCGCACTTCTGATATTTTACTTTTATTTATTGCCTTCGTTTCTCCTGCTTTTATCCCATTTAGGAGTGTCTTTCTATATAGCTGCAGCCGTTCCATGTCCCTTGCCTCATTTGGGTCCCAGTTAGGGTCATCATTTGGGTATCGCTCCATGGTGAACTGGTGCGGATTAGGGGTGGTCTCTGGGGCTTCCCCTTCTAACCAGCTGAGAGCTGACTGATTAACTCTTTTACGCTCCTCTGTATTAAATAAACTTAGCAAAAGTTATTCAAAATCCGGCCAGGTCAGGTTATGTGTGTTAATAATAGAATTTACCAAATCAATAAGAGCCTGAGGCTTTTCTGTATAGGAGGAGTTGTGCTGTTTCCAATTTAAGAGATCAGTAGTGGAGAAAGGCTGATAAACATAAAGCCTAGGGCCACCTTGTATCTGCCCCTGTTCATCATAAACTTGTGTCCTGGTTTCTCTAAGTGGCATCTGCAAATCCCGTGATCAGCCTGAGTGGAGGTGCCCAGCTGCCTTGTCCTGTCCTTCTCTTTTGTTTTTCTCTAACAGGGGCTTCTGTTCCTCTGGGTTTGGGGAGACTGAGCCTCACTTTCCTCTGAGCCCGACTCTGTGGATGCTCCTGACTCTGCCTCCTGCTTTATTCTAGCCAAAGATGGGTAGACTGGCACCTATGGGGGCAGACATTCCCTTTCCTCAGGTGGAGCCCGAAGAACTGGTTTTGGCTAAGGCTTCAAGGATTCCTTTTCCTGGGAGATGCTAGGGGTTTTAGGTTCCTCTGCTTCCTTTGGTTGGGCTGCCTGAGCCACTAATGCCTTGCAATATCCCTCTAGGCAGGGCTGTAGCCACTTGGGGTGAGTTTGTGCCACATTGAACCAAGAGTCTATATACGTAAACTGGTCTGGGTATCCTGGTTGTCCTTCAACTCCAGTGACCACCTTAAACACATGGCCAATTCATTCCCTGTCTATTGTACCTTCAGAGGGCCACCCCACATTGAAAGCAGGCCAGTCTATCTCACAGTATGTCCTTAACTTTTGAGCATCCGGTTTTATCGCATAATCACCTCTAAATCCTTTTTTAAAATTGTTTATCGTGCACTCCAAGGGAGTTAGTTTAGACACTTTTCCTTTCATTTTCTTCCTTGCGGTGCACTTTCACTTTTACTTTTACTCTCAGGTTCACCAGACCGGGTCCTATTACAGGAATTTTGGACAGTGTTTAGCTAGGAACGTTCCTTCCCCTCTTACAGCCTGCTGCAGACATGGAGCTGGTCCTATCAGCCATACACAATGTCCTAGGTCTGATTTTCCCCCACAGTCGCCTCAGAGCACACAGCCTGCGCTAAGGGCTCTGTGCCTCCCCATCACTCCCCACATTGGCCTCTCCCAAGACCGTTTCTTTCACACACTTTTACACACCTCCCCCACCTGAGGACTCCTCACTGGATGAAATGAGCCTCTCTCATGTCCCAGGTGAGCCTAGTTAGGCTTCCACATTCACACACGTACACACACCACTCCTACCCCAGGACTCCTCATGGGATGAAATGAGTCTCTCTTGTGTCCCAGGTAGGTCCACACACACCCACACACTCCCAGTTGGGGTTGCAAGCCACTCTTGCCACCCTGCCAGCAAGCTCTTCCTTGCTGCACTTGCCTCTCTATCAGCCCTTTTTCTCCACCAGTGAACCACTTTTACTTTGTTAGGGGAACATGAGATTCATCCAAATTGGCAGGCCACTCCTGCCACCCCCAGCCACTCTAGGTTGGATTAGTGGTCAGTCCCCAGGAGGTGATCAAGCTCCACTTCCTCCCTATGGGATGGGCTTTCCTGCCTTGGGCAGTTTCTCCTTACCGCAGTTCCTGAAGTGCTAGTATTGTCCTGTAGCCTCATCCCCAGTTCTGTTTTGCTGCTGGGTAGGCTGCCAGGATGCAGGGAGAGCTGGTCTCCATCCAGGTGAAGGTACCCTAGGGTGCACCTTGCATGCTGGGTCTCCCCCGGCCCTGGGGCTCTAGTCCCACAGACAAAGGAGACAGTAAATCTGTCATCTCTGATCCCTGTATGGGCCACCAGAAATGTTTCGGGATAATTTAGGAATCAGAAAGACTGAGAAGTTGAGGAGGATTTATTATTATTATTATTTAGGTCCACCAGCCCAGTCAGATTAACATTCAAAAATGACTGAGCCCCCAAACAAAGAGTCAAGTTACCTTTTAAGCATTTTGTAGGGTTGGGGGAGATCTGTGTAGGGGAAGCATATTACAGAAGTGAGAAACAAAGACAGTTATTCAGTTGAGACTTGTATTACATCATTTGTTACTTTTCAAGAAAAAACATGTTTTACAACTTAAGTTTATCTGTCTAGTGACCTTGCAGCTGCATAGCTAGAGAAACGGTCTTCACAATGCCTGGGAAAGTGAGAGATAAGGCTCACTAGCCAGACAGAAAAACAGGCAGTTAATTTTTAAAGGACTCCACCTCTTTCTCTTTCTCAGGGGGAATTGGGTTTTCTTACATACAACTGAGTTTTTGCTTACATATTCTTTAATTTCGTTTAATTCCTGTTCCATTGGTTCTTTGAAAGGACAAATAAAATTGATAGACCATTAACAAGATTAACCAAGAAAAGAAGAGAGAAAATCCAACTAACCTCACTAAGAAATGAAACAGGGGATATTACAACTGACACCACTGAAATATTAAAGATCATTCAAGGGTACTATGAACACCTTTAGGCACATAAACTAGAAAACCTAGAAGAGATGGATAAATTCCTAGAAAAATACAAATGTCCTAGCTTAAGTCAGGAAAAATTAGATACCCTAAACAGACCAATAACAAGCAGCAAGATTGAAATGGTAATTTTAAAATTACCAACAAAAAATCCAAGGACCAGACAGATTCACAGCAGAATCCTACCAGACATTCAAAGAAGAGTTGATACCAATCCTTTCACACCATTCTATAAGATAGAGAAAGAAGGAACCCTCCCTAATTCATTCTATGAAGCCAGCATCACCCTAATACTAAACCATGAAAGGACATAACCAAAAAAGAAAACTACAGTCCAATATCCTTGATGAACATAGATGCCAAAATCCTTAACAAAATACTAGCTTACCGAATGCTTACCGAATCCAACAACATATCAAAAAGATAATCCACCGTGATCAAGTGGGTTGCATACCAGGGAGACAGGAATGGTTTAAAATATGCATGTCAGTAAATGTGATACACCACATAAACAGAATTAAAGACAAAACTCACATGATCATATCAACAGATGCATCAGCAAAATAGGCATAGAAGGGACATATCTTAATGCAGTAAAAGCCATCTATGACAAACCCACAGCCAACATAATACTGAATGGGGAAAAGGTGAAAGCATTCCCTCTGAGAACTGGAACAAGACGAGGATGTCCATTCTCACCACTCCTCTTCAACATAGTACTGGAAGTCCTAGCCAGAGCAATCAGAAAAAAAGAAAGAGAGGAAATCCAAATCAGTAAAGAGGAAGTCAAACTGTTACTGGTTGCTGACAATATGATCTTTGACCTTGAAAACCCTGTGGACTCCTCTAGAAAGCTCCTAGAACTGGTAAAAGAACTCAGCAAAGTTTCCAGATACAAGATTAATATACACAAATCAGTAGCTCTTCTCAACACCAACAGCTACCAAGGAGAGAATCACATCAAGAACTCAACCCCTTTCACAATAGCTGCAAAACAAAACAAAACAAAAACAAACAAAAAAACAAAAAACTTAGGAATATACCTAGCAAAGGAATCTAAAGGCCTCTACAATGAAAATTACAAAACACTGCTGAAAGAAATCATAGATGTAGCCAAGCATGGTACTGCACGCCTGTAATCCCAGCTACTCAGGAGGCTGAGGCAGGAGAATGGCTTGAACCCGGAAGGCGGAGGTTGTAGTGAGCCGAGATCATGCCATTGCACTCCCATCTTGGTGACAAGAGTGAAACTCCCTCAAAAACAAACAAACAAACAAAACACACAAGAAAGAAAAGAAATCATAGATGACACAAACTAATGGAAACTCATCCCCATGATTATGGATGGGTAGAATCAATATTGTGAAAATTACCATTCTGTTAAAGGCAATCTACAAACTCGATGCAATCCCCATCTGAATACCACCATCGTTCTTCACAAAATTACAAAAACAATTCTAAAATTCATGTGGAACAAAAAGAGAGCCACATAGCCAAACCAAGACTAAGCAAAAAGAATAAACTTGGAGGCATCACACCTCTTGATTTCAAACTGTACAATAAGGCCATAGTTACCAAACAGCATGGTACTGGTTTAAAAATAGGCATATAGACCAATGGAACAGAAGAGAGAACCCAGAAATTAACCCAAATACTTACAGCCAACTGATCTTCGACAAAGTAAATGAAAACATAAAGTGGGGAAAGGACACCTTTTCAACACATGATGTTGGGATAATTGGTGAGCCACATGTAGGAAAATAAAACTGGATTCTCATCTCTCACCTTATACAAAAACCTACTCAAGATAGATTAAGAACTTAAACCTAATTCCTGAAACCATAAAAATTCTAGAAGATAACACTGGATAAACCCTTCTAGACACTGGCATAGGCAAGGATGTCATGACCAAGAACCCAAAAGCAAATGCAATACAAATAAAGATAAATAGCTGGGACCTAATTAAACTAAAGAGCTTTTGCATGGCAAAGGGAACAGTCAGAAGAGTAAATAGACAACCCACAGAGTGGGAGAAAATCTTCATAATCTATACATCTGACAGAGGACTAATATCCAGAATCTACAACAAACTCAAACAAATCAGTAAGAAAAAAACAAGCAGCCCCATCAAAAAATGGGCTAAGGATATGAATAGACAGTTCTCAAAAGAAGATATACAAATGGCCAACAAACATAAATAAAAATGCTCAACATCACTAATGATGCGGGAAATGCAAATCAAAACCACAATGCAATGCCACCTTACCTCCTGCAACCCAAAAATAAAAAAAAAGTAGGTGTTGCCATGGATGCAGTAAACAGGGAACACTTCTACACTGCTGGTGGGAATGTAAACTAGTACAGCCACTATGAAAAACAATGTGGAGATTCCTTAAAGAACTAAAACTAGAACTACCATTTGATCCAGCATTCCCACTACCATGTATCTACCCAGAGGAAAATAAGTCATTATTCAAAAAAGATACTTGCACATGCATGTTTATAGCAGCACAATCCACAAAATCAGGGAACCAACCCAAGTCCCCAGCAATCAACAAGTGGATGAAGAAACTGTGGTGTATATATATATATATATATATATATATATATATATATATATATATATATGATGGAATACTATGTAGCCATAGAAAGGAATGAATTAACAGCATTTGCAGTGACCTGGATGAGATTGGAGACTATAGTTCTAAGTGATGTAATGCAGGAACGGAAAACTCAACATCGTATGTTCTCACTGATATGTAGGAAATAAGCTAAGGACACAAAGGCATAAGAATGATGTAATGGACTTTGGGGACTTGGGGGGAAGAGTGGGAGGGAGGCGAGCAATAAAAGAGTATGAATATGGTGCAGTGTATACTGCTTGGGTAATGGGTGCATCATAATCTCACAAATCACCGCTAAGGAACTTACTCATGTAACCAAATACCATCTGTACCCCAACAACTTATAGAAAAATAAAATTAAAATAATAAATGAAAAATAAAGTATAACACACCAAGAAAGTGAACAGACAACCCATAAAATGGGAAAAAATAATTGCAAACTATCCATCTGACAAAGGATTAATAATCACAATATATAAGGAGCTCAAACAACTCTACAAAAAAAATCTAATAACCTGGTCATAAATGGCAAAAAAGATTTGAATATATATTTCTCCAAAGAAGACATACAAATGGCAAACAGGCATATGAAAAGGTGCTCAACATCACTGATAGAGAAATGCAAATTCAAACTGCAGTGCGATATCATCTCACTGGAGTTAAAATTGCTTATATTCAAAATACAGGAAATAACAAATGCTAGTGAGAATTTGGAGAAAAGGGAACCCTCATATACTGTTGGGGGGAATGTAAATTAGTATAACCACTATAAAGAACATCACTAATGTTTTATAGTTTTGAGGTTTTTTATGTTTTGAAGTTCCTCAAAAAACTAAAAATTGAGCTACCACATTATCCAGCAATCCTACTGTTGGGTATATACCCTAAAGAAAGGAAATCAGTATGTTGAGATATCTATACTCCTGTGTTTGTTGCAGCACTATTTGCAATAGCTAAGATTTGGAAGCAACCTGAGTGTCCATTAAGAATGGATTAAAAAATGTGGCAGATATACACAATGGAGTACTATTCAGCCTTAAAAAAGAATGAGAACCAGTCATCTGCAAGACCATGGATGGAACTGGAAATCATTATGTTAAGTGAAATAGCCAGGCACAGAAAGACAAACATCACATGTTCTCACTTATTTGTGGGATCTCAAAATCAACCCACTTGATCTCATGAACATAGAGTGTACAAGGATGATTACCAGAGGCTGGGGAGGATAGTGGGGAGCTAGGGTGAGGTGGGCATTGTTTATGGGTACAAAAAATAATTAGAATAAATGACAGTTGCTATTTGATAGCACAATAGGGTGACTATAGTCAATAATAACATAATTGTGCATTTTAAAATAACTTAAAGAGTGTAATTAGATTGTTCACAACACAAAAATAAATGCTTGATGGGATGGATGTCCCATTCTTTGTGATGTGATTATTTAACTTTGTATGTCTGTATCAAAACATCTCGTGTATGTTATAAATATGTACACCTATATACCCACAAAAATTAAAAATTAAAAAATTATAAGACACTAGACTCAATTTGAATTTTGGGTAAGGTTATTATTTGTATAAATATCTTCCAATACTTGCTTAAACATATTACAACAAATATGCAAATATTGCATAGCTATACTGAAAAGTTATTCATTGCTTATCTCAATTTTAAACTTTACTGTGTTTCTTATATTTTCTCTCAGTGAATCTGACACATCCATTATAGAAGTATCATAGGATTTACAATAACATTTTACAGATGTGGGGAAAAAAGAATGAAAGAAAAATTCTTAGAGGTCATATGGGTTGGTAAGAGTATAAAAGAAAACAGTCCCATATGATACATTAAAAACATAAATCAGGATGTACATGTCAGATCTCACCAGAAGACGTGGCAACCAGATTGTCCTTGGGCTGAGGGAGAAGTCCCTGAGCACTCTCAGAGACAGACAGTGCAAATCAAGTTCATTCTCACTGTGCTTGCTTAACTTTCAAAATTGTGTAAGTCCCTAAGTATATATATATAATCATGAGTAGTTGTGGGAAAAATAACACCATTAAATGTACCAAAACGAAAGACTGATCACAAATACTGCAGATGTTTAGATCAGATGTCTGAAGCAAAGAAAGGGAATGTAATAAAAAATAAAGTAAATCAAGCTCAATAAATCTGTTTCCTCATCTTTATAATAATGTCAAATTTGTTGAGATTTTTAAAAAATGGCATGATTTGTCTACAGATCCTTGTATTCTGTCTGGCTTAAATTAAATGCATATACAACTTATATAATAAAATACTGGGCTGTTTTATTATTATATTGATAATTTCTTGTTCACCACCACTTTGATCATATTCTATAAACAGCACTGTGAGACCTATGACTGGATATCAACAACATAAAGTGATTATGAGAGTTTCATGTGACAGATGAAAGAAGGTTGGTTAGTGCAGTGGCAATAGTCAGCAACCTGAGAAACTGAGCTCACAATTTTAGAAAAGTATTATTCTTCCTAACTAGATATTTCCATGAAAAGAACCTTGTGAAATGCAGAAATGCCAAAAGAATAATTATAAGATAATAACAAAATAACTAAAATACTCTAAATTTCTCTGACAATTTAACTTAATGCAGGGTGCAGCCAGAATCACAATGTTTACTAACATAGCTATTTATGATCTCAATACATTTAATTCTTAGCTCATTGAGGAAAAATGTAGTAGAACTGCTATTGCAGAGACAAAAGACAGAAAACAGGGGAGGGGATCGGGAGCCAAGATGGCTGAATAGGAACAGCTCCAGGCTACAGCTCCCAGCATGAGCGACACTGAAGACAGGTGATTTCTGCATTTCCAACTGAGGTACTGGGTTTATCTCACTGGGCAGTGCCAGACAGTGGGTGCAGGACAGAGGGTGCACCGCACTGTGCATGAGCCAAAGGAGGGTGAGGCATCGCCTCACCTGGGAAGCGCAAGGGGTCAGGGAATCCCCTTTCCTAGTCAAAGAAAGGGATGACAGACGGCACCTGGAAAATCAGGTCACTCCCACCCTAATACTGCACTTTTCCAACAGGCTTAACAAACAGCACACCAGGAGATTATATCCCGTACATGGCTCAGAGGATTCTACGCCCATGGAGCCTTCCTCATTGATAGCACAGCAGTCTGAGATCAAACTGCAAGGCGGCAGCGAGGCTGGGGGAGGGGCGCCCGCCATTGCCGAGGCTTGAGTAGGTAAACAAAGTGGCCTGGAAGCTCAAACTGGGTGGAGCCCACCACAGCTCAAGGAGGCCTGCCTGCCTATATAGGCTCCACCTCTGGGGGCAGGGAACAGACAAACAAAAGGCAGCAGGAACCTCTGCAGTCTTAAATGTCCCTGTCTGACAGCTTTGAAGAGAGTAGTGGTTCTCCCAGCATGCAGCTTGAGATCTGAGAACAGGCAGACTGCCTCCTTAAGTGGGTCCCTGACCCTGAGTAGTCTAATTGGGAGGCAATCGCCAGTAGGGGCAGACAGACACCTCACATGGTGTCAGTCACCTCTGAGACAAAACTTCCAGAGGAATGATCAGGCAGCAGCATTTGAGGTTCACCAATATCTGCTGTTCTGCAGCCACTGCTGCTGATATCCAGGCAAACAGGGTCTGGAGTGGACATCCAGCAAACTCCAACAGACCTGCAGCTGAGGGTCCTGACTGGTAGAAGGAAAACAAACAAACAGAAAGGACATCCACACCAAAAACCCATCTGTACGTCACCATCATCAAAGAACAAAAATAGATAAAACCACAAAGATGGGGAAAAAACTGAGCAGAAATACTGGAAACTCTAAAAATCAGAGCGCTTCTCTTCCTGCAAAGGAATGCAGCTCCTCACCAGCAATGGAACAAAGCTGGATAGAGAATGACTTTGACGAGTTGAAAGAAGAAGGCTTCGGAAGATCAAACTACTCTGAGCTAAAGGAGGAAGTTCAAACCAATGGCAAAGAAGTTGAAAATGAAAAAAAATTGGACGAATGGATAACTAGAATAACCAACACAGAGAAGTCCTTAAAGGACCTGATGAAGCTGAAAAACACGGCACGAGAACTACGTGATGAATGCACAAGCCTCAATAGCTGATGCAATCAACTGGAAGAGAGGATATCAGTGATGGAAGGTGAAATGAATGAAATGAAGCGAGAAGAGAAGTTTAGAGAAAAAAGAATAAAAAGAAACGAAAAAAGCCTCCAAGAAATATGGGACTATGTGAAAAGACCAAATCTACATCTGATTGGTGTACCTGAAAGTGACAGGGAGAATGGAACCAAGTTGGAAAACACTCTGCAGGGTATTATCCAGGAGAACTTCCCCAATCTAGTAAGGCAGGCCAACATTCAAATTCAGGAAATACAGAGAATGCCACAAAGATAGTCCTCAAGAAGAGCAACTCCAGGACACATAACTGTCAGATTCACCAAAGTTGAAATGAAGGAAAAATGTTAAGGGCAGCCAGAGAGAAAGGTCAGGTTACTCACAAAGGGAAGCCCATCAGAATAACAGCTGATCTGTCTGCAGAAAATCTACAAGGCAGAAGAGTGTGGGGGCCAATCTTCAACATTCTTAAAGAAAAGAATTTTCAACCCAGGATTTCATATCCAGCCAAACTAAGCTTCATAAGTGAAGGAGAAATAAAATCCTTTACAGACCAGCAAATGCTGAGAGATTTTTGTCAGCACCAGGCCTGCCTTAAAAGAGCTCCTGAAGGAAGCAGTAAACATGGAAAGGAACAACTGATACCAGCCACTGCAAAAACATGCCAAATTCTAACTACCGTCAAGGTTAGGAAGAAACTGCATCAACTAATGAGCAACATAGCCAGCTAACATCATAATGACAGGATCAAATTCACACATACCAATATTAACCTTAAATGTAAATGGGCTAAATGCTCCAATTAAAAGACACAGACTGGCAAATTGGAGAAAGAGTCAAGGCCCTTCAGTGTGCTGTATTCAGGAAACCCATCTAATGTGCAGAGACACACATAGGCTCAAAATAAAGGATTGGAGGAAGATCTAGCAAGCAAATGGAAAACAAAAAAAGGCAGCAGTTGCAATCCTAGTCTTGGATAAAACAGACTTTAAACCAACAAAGATCAAAGAGACAAAGAAGGCCATTACATAATGGTAAAGGGATCAATTCAACAAGAAGAGCTAACTATCCTAAATATATATGCACCCAATACAGGAGCACCCAGATTCATAACGCAAGTCCTTAGAGACCTACAAAGAGACTTAGACTCCCACACAATAATAATGGGAGACTTTAACACCCCACTGTCAACATTAGACAGATCAACGAGACAGAAAGTTAACAAGGATATCCAGGAATTGAACTCAGCTCTGCACCAAGCAGACCTAATAGACATCTACAGAATTCTCCACCCCAAATCAACAGAATATACTTTCTTTTCAGCATCATGCCACACCTACTCCAAAATTGATCACATAGTTGGAAGTAAAGCACTTCTCAGCAAATGTAAAAGAACAGAAATTATAACAAACTGTCTCTCAGAACACAGTGCAATCAAACTAGAACTCAGGATTAAGAAACTCACTCAAAACAGCTCAACTACATGGAAACTGAACAACCTGCTCCTGAATGACTAGTGGGTACATAATGAAATGAAGGCAGAAACAAACATGTTCTTTGAAACCAATGAGAACAAAGACACAACATACCAGAATCTCTGGGACACATTCAAAGCAGTGTGTAGAGGGAAATTTATAGCACTAAATGCCCACAAGAGAAAGCAGGAAAGATCTAAAATTGACACCTAATATCACAATCAAAAGAACTAGAGAAGCAGGAGCAAACACATTCAAAAGCTAGCAGAAGGCAAGAAATAACTAAGATCAGAGCAGAACTGAAGGAAATAGAGACACAGAACACCCTTCAAAAAATTAATGAATCCAGGAGCTGGTTTTTTGAAAAGATCAACAAAATTGATGGACCACTAGCAAGACTAACAAAGAAGAAAAGAGAGGAGAATCAAATAGATGCAATAAAAAATGATAAAGGGAGGCCGGGCGCGGTGGCTGACGCCTGTAATCCCAGCACTTTGGGAGGCCGAGGCAGGTGGATCACGAGGTCAAGAGATCGAGACCATCCTGGCCAACATGGCGAAACTCCGTCTCTACTAAAAATGCAAAAAATTAGCTGGGCGTGGTGGCAGGCGCCTGTAGTCCCAGCTACTCAGGAGGCCAAGGCAGGAGAATGGCATGAACCCAGGAGGTGGAGCTTGCAGTGAGCCAAGATCGTGCCACTGCACTCCAGCCTGGATGACAGAGCGAGACTCCGTCTCAAAAAAAAAAAAAAAAGATAAAGGGGATATCACCACCGATCCCACAGAAATACAAACTTCCATCAGAGAATACTATAAACACCTCTGTGCAAATAAACTAGAAAATCTAGAAGAAATGGATAAATTCCTCGACACATACACCCTCCCAAGACTAAACCAGGAAGAAGTTGAATCTCTGAATAGACCAATAACAGGCTCTGAAATTGAGGCAATAATTAATAGCTTACCAAAAAAAGGCAATAATTAATAGCTCACCAAAAAAATAGCAACCAAAAAAAGTCCAGGACCAGATGGATTCACAGCCAAATTCTACCAGAGGTACAGGGAGGAGTTGGTACCATTCCTTCTGAAACTATTCTAATCAATAGAGAAAGAGGGAATCCTCCCTAACTCATTTTATGAGGCCAGCATCATCCTGATACAAAGCCTGGCAGAGACACAACCAAAAAAGAGAATTTTAGACCAATATCCTTGATGAACATCGCTGCAAAAATCCCCAATAAAATACTGGCAAACAGAATCCAGCAGCACATCAAAAAGCTTATCCACCATGATCAAGTGGGCTTCATCCCTGGGATGCAAGGCTGGTTCAACATATGAAAATCAATAAACGTAATCCAGCATATAAACAGAACCAAAGACAAAAACCACATGATTATCTCAATAGATGCAGAAAAGGCCTTTGACAAAATTCAACAACCCCTCATGCTAAAAACTCTCAATAAATTAGGTATTGATGGGACATATCTCAAAATAATAAAAGCTATCTATGACAGACCCACAGCCAATATCATACTGAATGGACAAAAACTGGAAGCATTCCCTTTGAAAACTGGCACAAGACAGGGATGCCCTCTCTCACCACTCCTATTCAACATAGTGTTGGAAGTTCTGGCCAGGGCAATCAGGCAGGAGAAGGAAATAAAGGGCATTAAATTAGGAAAAGAGGAAGTCAAATTGTCCCTGTTTGCAGATGACATGATTGTATATCTAGAAAACCCCATCATCTCAGCCCAAAATCTCCTTAAGCTGATAAGCAACTTCAGCAAAGTCTCAGGATACAAAATCAATGTACAAAAATCACAAGCATTCTTTTTTTTTTTTTTTTTTTTTGAGACGGAGTCTCGCTCTGTCGCCCAGGCTGGAGTGCAGTGGCGGGATCTCGGCTCACTGCAAGCTCCGCCTCCCGGGTTCACGCCATTCTCCTGCCTCAGCCTCCCAAGTAGCTGGGACTACAGGCGCCCGCCACTAGGCCCGGCTAATTTTTTGTATTTTTAGTAGAGACGGGGTTTCACCGTTTTAGCCGGGATGGTCTCGATCTCCTGACCTCGTGATCCGCCCGCCTCGGCCTCCCAAAGTGCTGGGATTACAGGCGTGAGCCACCGCGCCCGACCACAAGCATTCTTATACACCAATAACAGACAAACAGAGAGCCAAATCTTGAGTGAACTCCCATTCACAATTGCTTCAAAGAGAATAAAATACCTAGGAATCCAACTTACAAGGGATGTGAAGCACCTCCTCAAGGAGAACTACAAACCACTGCTCAATGAAATCAAAGAGGATACAAACAAATGGAAGAACATTCCATGCTCATGGGTAGGAAGAATCAATATCATGAAAATGGCCATACTGTCCAAGGTAATTTATAGATTCAATGCCATCCCCATCAAGCTACCAATGACTTTCTTCACAGAATTGGAAAAAGCTACTTTAAAGTTCATATGGAACCAAAAAAGAGCCCGCATCACCATTTCAATCCTAAGCCAAAAGAACAAAGCTGGAGGCATCATGCTACCTGACTCCAAACTATACTACAAGGCTACAGTAATCAAAACAGCATGGTTCTGGTACCAAAACAGAGATATAGACCAATGGAACAGAACAGAGCCCTCAGAAATAATGCCGCATATCTACAACTATCTGATCTTTGATAAACCTGACAAAAACAAGAAATGGGGAAAGGATTCCCTATTTAATAAATGGTGCTGGGGAAACTGGCTAGCCATATGTAGAAAGCTGAAACTGGATCCTTTCCTTATACCTTACACAAAAATTAATTCAAGATGGATTAAAGACTTACCTGTTAGACCTAAAACCATAAAAACCCTAGAAGAAAACCTAGGCAATACCATTCAGGACATAGGCATGGGCAAGGACTTCATGTCTAAAACACCAAAAGCAATGGCAACAAAAGCCAAAATTGACAAATGGATTCTAATTCAACTAAAGAGCTTCTGCACAGCAAAAGAAACTACCATCAGAGTGAACAGGCAACCTACAGAATGGGAGAAAATTTTTGCAATCTACTCATCTGACAAAGGGCTAATGTCCAGAATCTACAATGAACTCAAACAAATTTACAAGAAAAAAACAAACAACCCCATCAAAAAGTGGGTGAAGGATATGAACAGACACTTCCCAAAAGAAGACATTTATGCAGCTAAAAAACACATGAAAAAATGCTAATCATCACTGGCCATCAGAGAAATGCAAATCAAAACCATGATGAGATATCATCTCACACCAGTTAGAATGGTGATCATTAAAAAGTCAGGAAACAACAGGTGCTGGAGAGGATGTGGAGAAATAGGAACACTTTTACACTGTTGGTGGGACTGTAAACTAGTTCAACCATTGTGGAAGACAGTGTGGCGATTCCTCAGGGATCTAGAACTAGAAATACCATTTGACCCAGCCATCCCATTACTGGGTATATACCCAAACAATTATAAATCATGCTGCTATAAAGACACATGCACATGTATGTTTATTGCGGCACTATTCACAATAGCAAAGACTTGGAACCAACCCAAATGTCCAACAATGATAGACTGGATTAAGAAAATGTGGCACATATACACCATGGAATACTATGCAGCCATAAAAAATGATGAGTTCATGTTCTTTGTAGGGACATGGATGAAGCTGGAAACCATCATTCTCAGCAAACTATCGCAGGGACAGAAAACCAAACACCGCCTGTTCTCTCTTATAGGTGGGACTAGAACAGTGAGAACACATGGACACAGGAAGGGGAACATCACACACTGGGGACTGTTGTGGGGTGGGGGGAGGGGGGAGGGATAGCATTAGGAGATATACCTAATGCTAAATGATGAGTTAATGGGTGCAGCACACCAACATGGTACAGGTATACATATGTAACAAACCTGCATGTTGTGCACATGTACCCTAAACCTTAAAGTATAATAGTAATAAAATAAAAAAAAGATTAGAAAAAGAAACATCCTTATCATTGCACTATTTTTGATTTTTGAAAAAGTTTCAAAGAACACTCAGATTTGTATTCTATTTTAAATTTGCAAATACCCTATGAAATCCTCCCCTCCCATTTTTTAAAAGATGTATAAAAATAATAGAAGCAATGAAACCACAGTTTGAAACGTGCAAGATACTGGGAAATGGGAAAAGTCATTCTATACCATTGTGTTAACCAACAATAATCACTATTTTAGTGTTTTTCCTCCTTGTACTTCCTATGCATTAAATTCAGGTTTTCATTAATTGTACATTTTTATATCTAGCTCCTTTTGGTTTGACATTGTATGAGAAGCATTTTTCTGTTACATACATGTTATGTGTAAATATAAATAATTCAGTGGATTTATATTTAAAAAAAAAAGAAAACAGGGGAGGGGCTTGATCACAAGCCATGTTACAATTTTTGGAAACTTCTAAAAATCCTACGTGGTGATAGGTTTTTCTTATCTCATTATTAAAGAATATATGAGCAGGTGGGGCATGGTGGCTCAAACCTGTAATCCTAACACTTTGGGAGGCCAGTGTTTGAGGATCACTTCAGGCCAGGAGTTTAAGACTAGCCTGGGCAACATAGAAGACCCTGTCTCTACAATTTCTTTTTAAACTAGCCTGCTGTGGTGACATATGCCTGTAGTCCCAGCCACTAGGGAGGCTGAGGTGAGAGAATTGCTTGAGCTTAGGTGTTTGAATCTGTAGTGATCTATGATTGTACCACTGCACTCCAGCAAGAATGACAGAGCTAGATCCTGTGTACAAATATATACATATTGTATATATTGTCAATGACCAGTCACAGGTCTTACAATGCTGTTTATACAATACGGTAAAAATGGTGTTGACAAAGAAATTATCACAATAATATTAATAATAAAAGCCCAGTGTTATATTATGTAAGTTGTTCATAAATTTAAGTGAGGTAGAGAAATGAAGATCTGTAGACAAGTCATGTCATTTATTTTTAAAATCTCAACATAATTTTTTTTTTTTTTTTTTGAGACAAGAGTCTCACTCTTTCACCCAGGCTGGAGTGCAGTGGCTCGATCTCAGCTCACTGCAACCTCTACCACCCTGGTTCAAGCAATTCCCCTGCCTCAGCCTCCAGAGTAGCTGGGATTACATGTTTCTGCCACCACATCTGGCTAATTTTTGTATTTTTAGTAGAGACGGGGTTTCACCATCTTGGCCAGGCTGGTCTTAAACTCCTGACCTCGTGATCCACTGGCCTTAGGCTCCCAACGTGCTGGGATTACAGGCGTGAGCCACTGCACCCAGCCAACATTTCTTTTTTAAAGTGCGCAAGCTCTTTGGCCAATATGTCCCTGTGGATCACTGTAATAAGATACCCAGAGCAACTGTTTCCACCATGGAGTTGGGAGGAGATTAAGACACACTCTTTGTACTTTGGATGCTCTTATCAGGATCAGGGGAGGTCCCTGCACTCTGATTTTCTCTCTCCTAAATGCGCAAAGAACAGAGATTTTTATCATGAATAATTTTAAGAGAAAGTAAAAATTCCATAATGTTCAGGGACATGCAGGTTTTCTATTGATCATGTTTCTTCTTGATATTTTTAGGCCCTGGCCGGCCGCAAATGAGTAATCTCTATCATCATCATTGTGTTCCTTTGTGTTTTAACCTTTCCTGATTCCATTCTCTCTATCTTTCATTTTGAAGAATAGACACCAGAAAATCCTATCCCTACCAAATGCAAAAAAAAAAAAAAAATTATAAATAGTAACATTTACAAGTCACATTTTTGAATATATGTTTTAATTAGAAAATAACAATTCTAAACTTTCAGAGGAAATGATAGTAATATAAAACAGAGGACATTTTTATAATAAGGAACTCTTATATTCTTAATATTTTGCAAATTATTATTCTCTCATCACCAAATAGTGTTACTTAAAGTAATATATAACCAATACAATAAGTTTAGTTTTAAAAAACACAAAATTACAAAACAATTAATACAATATTTGAAATCATGATGCATATTGCCAGCCTCCCTTCAGGTAAAGTTCTATTAACTCTACAAAAACTTTATAAATGGCAGATGATACCTTTCCAGATAGTTTTGTGGTAATCAAAAAAGAATTGATTAGCAATTTTTATATCACATTGAGACAAAACATTATTTGTGATAAATATCATTATTGTTATGTATTTAAAACAGCTCATGTATTAAGAAATCATACTTTAGATGGGGCCAAGCTGGCCGATCAGAAGCATGGAGAGCAATGAAAACTGTGAGTGAATTCTACACCTTCAATTGAGGTATCCAGGTTCTTGCATTGTGACTGACTAGGCAGACAGCTCAACCCACAGAGAGTGAGGAAAAGCAAGTGGGGTGATGGCCCACCCAGGTGTGGCATGGAGCTAGGGGAGCCCCCACTCGCAGCCAAGTGAGGTGGTGAGTGATTGTGCGACTCTGTCCGGGAAACCATGCTTCTCCCACGGATCTTTGCAACCTGCAGATTAGGAGATCCCCTCGTGGGCCCAGCCACCACGGCCTTGGGTCTGAAGCACAGAGCTGTGTGGAGTCTCGGCGGAGTGCTCGCTGGCTCACTCGGGCATGCACCGAAACCCAGGAGTTTTGCATACTCTGCCCTGAGAATTCCAGCAAAGTGGGAGATACATGCATGCATTCCCCTAGGAAGGGGGCTGAATCCAGGGAGCCAAGTGGCATCATTCTGTGGGCCCCACTCCCACAGCACGTCACAAGTTAAGACCCATTGGCTTAGAATTCCAGCTGGCCAGCAGCAGCAGGCTGAAGACAGCCGGAGATGGACCGAGTTCCCTGAGGGAGGGGCAGCCGCTATATCTGTGGTTTGAGTTGGCCGCTCTAGCCCGTTGGCACCAAGGACCAGGAGGAGTTCCCCATAACACAGCACAGGTGCTGTGCCTGATTGTGGCTAGTCTGCTTCTTTAAGTGAGAACGCAGTCCATCCCTCCTCACTGGACAGGACCTCCCCATCAGAATTTTAGCAGCTCCAGCCAGAGTTCTATGGACATAACTCTGATTTCTCCCTGGGATGAAGTCCCCAGGGAGAGGGGTAGCTGCTGTCTCCCCGGTTCAGCTGACCTAGCCTTTCCAGCCTGCTGGCTCTAGAGACTCCCGGGGGTCAGCACAGCACACCTGTCTGCCAAGGGGCAGCCAGACTGCTTCTTTAAGCAGTCCCTGATCCTGTTCCTCCTGACTGGGTGAGACCTCCCAAAAAGGATCTCCAGACATCTCCTATAGGAGCATTCCAGCTGGCATCAAGTCAGTACCCCCTTGAAATGGTGCTCCCAGAGAAAGGATCAGGCTGCCATCTTTGCTGTTTTGCAGCCTTCACTGGTGATACCTCCAGGTTCAGGAGAGACTGAGGTGACTGAGGTCTAGAGTGGACCCCCAGAAAACCACAGCAGCCCTAGGGAAGAGTGGTCTGACTGTTAAAAACAGAAAGCAACAACATCAACAAAAAAGACCCCACAAAAACCCCATTCAAGAGTCAGCAACATCAAAGATCAAAGGTAGATAAGCCCACAAAGATGAGAAAGCATCAACACAAAAATACTAAAAACTCAAAAAGGCAGAATGCCTCTTCTCCTCTAAATGACAACACAACCTCCCCAGCAAGGGCACAGAACTGGCTGGAGGCTGAGATGGCTGAATTGACGAAAGTAGGCTTTAGAAGGTGGGTAATAACAAACTTCACTGAGCTAAAGGAACATATTCTAACTTAATGCAAAGAAGCTAAGAATCATTTAAAAAAATACATGAGCTGATAACTAGAATATTCAGTTTAGAGAGGAACATAACTGACCTGATGGAGCTGAAAAACACAACATGAGAACTTCACAATGCAACCACAAGTATCATTAGCAGAATAGGCCAAGTGGAGGAAAGAATCTCAGAGCTTGAAAACTATCTGTCTGATATAAGACAGGAATAGAAGAATAGAGAAAAAAGAACAAAAAAGAATGAACAAAACCTTCAAGAAATATGGGATTATGTAAAAAGACTAAACCTAAGACTGATAAGGATACATTGATCCACCATGATCAAGATGGCTTCATCCTTGGGATACGAGGTTGCTTCAACATAGGCAAATCTATAAATGTAATTCATCACATAAACAGAACTAAACACAAAAACAATGTGATTATCTCAATAGATGCAGAAAATGCCTTCAATAAAATTCAACATCCCTTCATGTTAAAAAAAAAACTCTCAATAAACTAGCTATTGAAGGATCATACCTCAAAATAATAAGAGCCATACATGACAAACCCACAGCCAATATCATACTGTATGGGCAAAATCTGAAAGTATTCTTGAAAACAGGCACAAGACAAGGATGGCCTCTCTCACCAGTCCTATTCCACATAGTATTGAAGTTTCTGGCCAGGGCAATCGGGCAGGAGAAAGAAATAAAGGTATTTAAATAGGAAGAAAGGAAGTCAAATTATCTTTGCAGATGACATGATCCTGTGTCTAGAAAACCCCATCATCTCAGCCCCAAAGCTTCTTAAGCTGATAAACCACTTCAGCAAAGTCTCAGGATACAAAATCAATGTGCAAAAGTTACTAGCATTCCAATACACCAACAACAGGCAAGCAAAGAGCCAAATCATGAATGAACTTCATTCACAATTGCTACAAAGAGAATAAAATACCTAGGAATATAGCTAACAAGAGAAATGAAGGACCTCTTCAAGGACTACAAACCACTGCTCAGAGAAATCAGAGAGGACACAAACAAATGGAGAAACATTCCATGCTTATGCATAGGAAGAATTAATTCATAAAAATGGTCATACTGCCCAAAGTAATTTGTAAAATAATTCAGTGCTATTCCCATTAAACTACCATTGACATTCTTCACAGAATTAGAAGAAACTATTTCAAAATTCTTATGGAACTAAAAAAGAGCCCAAATAGCCAAAACAATTCTAAGGAAAAAGAACAAAGCTGGAGGCATCACACTACCCAACTTCAAACTATACTATAAGGCTACAGTAACCAAAACAGCATGGTACTGGTACAAAAACAGGCATATAGACCAATGGAACAGAATAGAGAACTCAGAAATAAGACCATACACATACAATCATCTGATAACAAACCTGACAAACACAAGCAATGGGGAAAGGATCCCTTACTTAATAAATCACGTTGGGAAAACTGGCTAGCCATATGCAGGAAACTGAAACTGTACGTCTTCCTTACACCTTATACAAAAATTAACTGAACATGGATTAAAGATTTAAACATAAGACCTAAAACCATAAAGACTCTAGAAGAAAACCTAGGCAATATCATTTAGGACATAGGCATGGGCAAAGACTTCATGACTAAAACACCAAAAGCAATGGTAACAAAAGCCAAAATTGACAAATGGGATCTAATTAAACTAAAGAGCTTCTGCAAAGCAGAAGAAACTATCATCAGAGTGAACAGACAACCTACAGAACGGGAGAAAATTTTTGCAATCTATCCATCTGACAGAGGGCTAATATCCAGAATCTACAAAGAACTTAAACAAATTTACAAGAAAAAAACAACCCCATCAAAAAGTGGGCGAAGGAAACAAGCAGACACTTCTCAAAAGAAGACATTTATGTGGCCAACAAACATATGAAAAAAAAACTCATCACTGGTCATTAGAGAAATGCAAATCAAAACCACAATGAGATGCCATCTCACACCAGTTAGAATGGTGATTATTAAAAAGTTAGGAAACAACAGATGCTGGAGAGGGTGTGGAAAATAGAAACACTTTTACACTGTTAGTGGGAGTTTAAATTAGTTCAAAAATTGTGGAAGACAGTGTAGCACTTCCTAAAGGATCTAAAACCAGAAATACCATTTGACCCAGCAATCCCATTACTGAGTATATACCCAAAGGATTATAAATCATTTTTCTATAAAGACACATGCACACGTTTATTTCAGCACTGTTCACAATAGCAAAGACTTGAAACCAACCCAAATGCCCATCGATAATAGACTGGATAAAGAAAATGTGGCAAATATACACAGGGAATACTATGCAGCCATAAAACAGGATAAGTTTATATCCTTTCCAGGGACATGGATGAAGCTGGAAACCATCATGCTCAGCAAACTAACACAAGAAAAGAAAATCAGGCCGGGCACCCTGGCTCATGCTTGTAATCCCAGAACTTTGAGAGGCTGAAGTGGGCAGATCACCTGAGGTCGGGAGTTTGAGACCAGCCTGACCAACATGGAGAAACCAGGTCTCTACTAAAAATACAAAAAATTAGCCAGGTGTGGTGGCACATGCCTGTAATCCCATCTACCTGGTAGGCTGGGGCAGGAGGATAGCTTGAACCCAGGAGGCAGAGGTTGCAATGAACTGAGATTATGCCACTGCACCCCAGCCTGGGCAACAAGAGCAAAACTCCACCTCAAAAAAAAAAAAAAAAAAAGAAAGAAAACAAAAGAAAAAAGAAAAGAAAACCAAAAACCACATGTTCTCACTCATAAGTGGGAGTTGAACAATGAGAACACATGGACACAAGCAGGGGAACATCACACAATAGGGCCTGTCTGAGGGTGGGGAGCTGGGGGAGGAATAGCATCAGGAGAAATACCTAATGTAGATGACGGGTTGATGGGTGCAGCAAACCACCATGGCATGTCTATACCTAGGTAACTAACCTGCGCGCCCTGCCCATGTATCCCAGAACTTAAAGTATAATAAAAAAAACTTTACATAAATGCATAAAGTCTAGTATAGCTAATATATCACAATGAAATGTCAACTATAATCCCAGCTCAAAGAGAACACCATAAAATTATGAAGACCTTTCCATAAATCTCTAAATTTATGTCCTCATAAGATTATATTTCTATTTCTTCTTAATTTCCTTATTTTAGCTATGATTTAGTGATAGTAAGATGGTAATTATGAGGAGAAAATTCTAACACTCCATTGAGAATATTCTGCCTCATTTCACCACACACCTGAGTCTTAAGCAGCCACTTCCTTTTTTTTTTTTTTTTTTTTTGAGACAGAGTCTCGCTCTGTCACCCAGGCTGCAGTGCAGTGGCGAAATCTCTGCTCACTGCAAGCTCCACCTCCCGGGTTTATGCCATTCTCCTGCCTCAGCCTCCTGAGTAGCTGGGAGTATAGGCGCCCACCACCATGCCGGCTAATTTTTTGCATTTTTAGTAGAGATGGAGTTTCACTGTGTTAGCCAGGATGGTGTCAATCTCCTGACCTCGTGATCCGCTCGCCTCGACCTCCCAAAGTGCTGGGATTACAGGAGTGAGCCACCGCGCCCGACCTAAGCAGTCACTTCTAATGCAGCTAAATAATATATACTCACCCAGCTGAGTCTATGAATTGAATCCATGTATGTGAGATAAGGCCCCAAGGAGTGGTAATAAGCTGGGAATGCCATCAGCTCATCTTTCTTCAGGCCTGTATTTGTCATTGTCACTTGTAGAAGCAGGACAGCCCTGGCATTGGGATTGTTAGAAACAGAGAGTATCAAAGGGAAAACTGAACTCCCCTAATTTTTGGAAAACAGCAGATTGGAAAGAGATGGGCTCCAACGTTTTCCATGTATGAGGCCGTTGTACCAGGTAGCCTTGCTCAGGACCACATTTCTTGTCAGCAAAACAGAAGTCAAACAGTATTTCTACTTTCCAAGAGAATAGAACATAATGTCAGATTTTCTCATGGATTCCCACCAGTTCAAGAAAGTTTCATGGCTTTCATTTCTTTCTTTTTCAGTGGTCTCAGGGTCACCTAGAAATATAAGCTACTTTGTTGGAATTTGGAAGATACCTCATGACCCAAAATTACTTAAAAGATGTGTTTTTTCTCCCTGGGAACAGAGCCCCAAGTCAAGGCATCTGGCATGGGAAGCAGAATGTAGGCTGCTTTTCACCTCTCACATAGTAGGCCTGGTATATTTATCAAGGGCAGAAAAAAAACACCTCAATTGCAGGCAGCATTGGTGACTGAGATGCACATTGTCCTTCTTTATATACTTTATTTTGACATAAATTTCCAAGAACTTGTGTTTGCCATCCCATCAATTTTTTTTTTTTTTCTTTTTTTGAGATGACTCTCTCTCTGTCACCCAGGCTGGAGTGCAGTGGTGCAATCTCAGCTCACTGCAAGCTCCGCCTCCCGGGTGCACGCCATTCTCCTGCCTCAGCCTCCCGAGTAGCTGGGACTACAGGCGCCCGCCACCACGCCCGGCTAAATTTTTGTATTTTTTAGTAGAGACGGGGTTTCACTGTGTTAGCCAGCATGGTCTCGATCTCCTGACCTCGTGATCTGCCCGCCTCGGCCTCCCAGAGTGCTGGGATTACAGATGTGAGCCAGCACGCCCGGCCCATCCCATCCCTTTTTCTTATCTACTGTCTCTAGTCATGGGGATATTTTATTTCACAAACTAGAATGCCCACTTCTTGGCAACAGACACATTTTTTGCTTTGTGACACCTACCAACCAAACCTGAAATATAACTTCAAACTTAATCCTGATTATAACTGCCACATTTATGATTTTTTTAAATTAAAAAAACACGATGTTATAATGGTAGCTTTTCTTCCCATAAACCTATATATCTTAGCACAGAGCACCAGCTCAGCCTGTTTGGGTTTGGCATGGTATGTTCCCATGCGTTGTCTTTGATTCTATAACAAAAAAGTCTTCCAATTGGCCTCATTTAGGACACCATCACCCTCAGACTTCTACTCTCTGCAAATACAATTCTGCCTGAACTCTCTGACTGGATCCATTCTATCATTAGCTGCCATAACTACAACCTCAATACTCAATCTTTGTTGTTTCTTAGCTCTTTATTTGTTCATTTAATTGCCTTATTTGAAGTTTCTCTATTTCTTCTTTTTAAATGTTCCTTGGTCAGTGCTCACAGAAAAAAAAAATAAAACTGTCGACTAAGAATCCTACACCTAGCACATCTATGTATCAAAAATTGAGGATTGCTTGAGTTCAGGAGTTCAAGACAGACCTGGGCAACATAATGAGGCCTTATCTCTGCTAAAAATAAAAAATATATATATTAGCCAGGTGTGGTGGTGTGCACCTATAGTCTCTCAGCTACTTGGGAGGCTGAGGTGAGAGAATTGCTTGAGCTCAGGAGATCTAGGCTACAGCAAGCTATGATTGTGCCACTGAACTCCAGCCTGAATGAGAGTGAGGTCCTGTCTCAAACAAACAAAACACCACCACCACCACCACCAATACAGAACCTTAGGGAATCTAACAAAAATGTACTTTTGGTCAATTTTTGCTATTTTAAATTCCTGATTTTTCCTTACATTCTAATTCAAAGGGAAATGAAAGCACTGGTGAGACCCAGGCTGGAGGGGCCTTCCCTAGGCTTATGGTATGTTACCTCTGGGCAACCCCTACAAAATCTCCAGATACATCTGGGGTGAAGAATAAGCCAATGTCAGCATCTCAGAAAAGGTTTGCACTTTAGGTCTTCCTGAAGCAAGAGCCTAAGAGCGTTGAGATCTAGCAGGAGCATATTGTGTCCTCTTAGGCATTTCCCACCAAGTGACCTGGATACAAGGCTGTCTCTAGGATGTGGGTGCTTGGTTACCAGAGTTCTATGTTCTGTTGGGGTCTGTCACCAAGGAAGTAAGATCACTTTTTCAAAGTTTCATCCTCTGGACTCCTTGCTTTCTTCCATAAAACCCATCCAAAGGCCCTGCTGGGCTACTGACAGCTCACTATCCCTGCATGTCAACTCTTTACCTGTGAACAATTATGCAAGCACAGCCCTCCTCAGTTCCCTGAAGACCTGAATGAAGCCAGGGTCTCAGGTGTGAGGTCATAGATCGGAGTAAGAACCAACTTTTTCTTATTAGTTTTGTGACACTAGAAAAGTTATTGTGGGTTTTGGGGCCTTTCGACCTGTACAGTGGGTAACATGCCAGCATCTCCTTTTTTAGGGTATCTCCTTCCTCATCAGGTACGTATGAGATAAAACTTGTAAAACTCATGGTGTGGCATCCCATGTAGATAATGCACACACTTAGAGATAAAAGAATTATAAGAAGGAATGGGAGGTAGCATAGAATACAACTCAAACAGGCCTGTGTCCAGCAATGTGATATTGAAAAGTCGCTTCCCCTCTCAGCCTCATTTTTCATTCTGCACCAGTAAGAGTTTGAGGTGAAATGAAATTCAGATGCTGTCATTTTCTGACATTATTCCTTAGAGTGACTTCTCATTATATTCAGAATCAGACCCATGTCCTTCATTTTGGCCTATGTGGTGGGCAGACTACAGGAAGGCTCACAACACTCAGGGGTCTGTGGCTCACGTCTGACAAATGGAATGCAATAAACATGATGGGATAACACTTCTTAGGTCAGACTGTTATAGCAAAGATAGACTGAGCCACTTATCAACAACAGAATGTTCTTTCTCACAATTCTAGAGGACATAAGTTGAAGGTCAGAATGCCAGCATGGTTGAGCTCTGGTGAGAACTCTCTCTTCTGACTTTCAGACTGTAGACTTTACATTGCATTTTTACCTGACAGATAGTGGAGAAGGGAGCTCTCTGGGTTTTTTTGTTTTTTGTTTTAATAGAGCCAGTAATCCCGTTCCTGAGGGTTTCACCTTCAGGACCTAATTACCTCCCACTTCCTAGTACTGTTACAATGGGGGCTAGGATTTCAATGTACAGTTTTTGGTGGGGAAATGTTCAGTCTATTGCAACTCTCATTATGTCATTATCAAACAAGCTTTCATTTTCTCCTAGTCACTTTCTTCTGTGTTTCCTCCCTCAATCTCTCTCTCGATTTCTCTCTTCTCTACTTACTATGTCCAGTGTTTTCTCCCTCAGTTTCTGCCTATGTCTTTCTCTCTCTGTCAATATGTATCTCTCTTCCTGTCTTTCTACTGCATTCCTAAAGTTCAGAAAGCAAGCTCCAGTGTTATGAACTGCCCTATGCAGCAGCCTACACAACAGAGAATGAGGGAGTGCCCAGGCACTGGGAGACACTCAGACTCTCAGTCTACACTGAATCTGGCCAATACCCACAATGAGTGTGCTTGGAAGTCAATCCTCTCACAGCCCAGCTTCAGCTGAGAACACAGCCCCAGCCTCATGGAGCCCCATGTGCAGGGAGCCAGTGAAGCTGATTGCAGATTCAGGGCCACATAAACCATGAGATAGTAAGCATTTGTTGTTAAAGGTGCTAAGTTTGGGGACAATGTTGTCAGAGAGAAGCAGATCACTTTATTCTTCTTCCAGGCCCCAGAGTCCTCCTCCCATCTCCTTTTCTAGCTCCCTCTAGATCCACCAGCCTCTTTCTCACATCCTCTGCCAAAGTCACTTCTGCCTGCATGTCTCTGCACCAGGAGTGGCATCTCCCTGACACACTGTTCCCAGACTTGTGCAGGGCTGGCCCTCTGTTGTCACCCTGTTCAAGGCATAAATGTCACCTCAGTGAGGCATTTGGGTCCCTGGAATGCTATGGCCCTCTGCCCTCCTTCCCAACATCCTACTTTATTTTAATTACAGCATTTACTCTTCTTTTACATGTACTTGCTTTAGTGTTTTCATCCATATATCCTCAGACTGTTGTCTCCTTGAGTGGGGGAAAAGGCCACTCAATCATTTCTCAGCCTCATGCTGGGCCCACCAGGGCACTTGGCATAGGTTTAGTTCTGTGGCAGAGTTGCTGAGTGAATAAATGAGGAAATGTCTATCCTCCTTGTCTGCTTCTGATCACCTCATGATCTTTCTTTTAATAAACAATAATTATAGTTGATATTAAAACATAAATGGCAAAATAATTATAATTTCTGAAGTTTCCTATTTGTGATAGCTTTTATTATATAATCATCCCTATGAAGACTTTACATTTTATAACTTTTACATAATTTGATTTTTAATGAAAAACTGTTTAACTCTGAGTTCTGACAATAAATTTTATAGTCTATTTCCAAATTCTTCTATAGATTAATAATTTGTTTTTATGAATGATTTTGACCTTGATATTTATTTTGGAAAGAGGAATTCTACAAGTTTTCTACCAGGTCAGGCCAATCACATTTTGTCATCCAGGATTTAGTATTTGGTGTTCCAATTAACAGGTGTACAAGATGATATGTCAAGTAACTGTGGGCCATATGTGCCCTAAATAATTCTAAATTATTTGATGAATATTTGATTTTCTTTAGTTTTTAAAAATTGTTAATTATAACTTGTTAGTTCATGTACAACTCTGAACTCATGCAATAAATTTAAATTCTGCAGCTGCTTACATATCTGGCTCATGGTAAAGGTGGATCTTTAGATGAAACAAACAATTTGGGAATTTATGACAGTTGGGAAAATAATTTCAGAACAAGCAGCAAGAAGGAGAAGTCAATGGTGGGGCAAAAGAAGAGAGATCAGAATCATAAGGGGCCGGAGGGAGAGCTGCATGCCAGGAGGCAACCGAAGGACTAGGAGGGGAAGGATTTACTAAAAAATGTCTCTAGTTTTTGTTGCTTCTGATTGTAAATTTTTTCATCTTTAGCCTCTTTAGCCACATAATATTTTAGTGGAGAAATGTTTAATTCAGAATTATATGTAGAGTTTTCTGCCTACCAAGTAAAAATACTGCCCATTGGACCTGAGAAATTTTTGTTTTCCTAAAGTGCCTCTCAAAGGAACAATGTTTCTCCAGTCAACATTCATTAATGTGGCCATTAAAGGCTCAAATAATCCTTGATGAAGAATGCTATTCAGATAAATAAGTGTAAGAATTGTAATTAAAGTGTATAGAAGTACCAATAGTTTTATCCTAAAATGAAGAGTGTTTAGAGTACAGTTTGTGTATAATCCTGTGCACCTAATATCTCAGCCCTAATGCAATGGTTGGCCATATCATAAAGCAGAAAAAAGCCTATGACCCTAGTGGGTATAAAACCAGAGAAAACATGCTCTATGGATTAAAGATGTTTTTTAACATGAAAAAAGTGAAAGGAGAATGTAACCAGTTTCACAGTAACTGACAGCAACGTTTATCCAAATTGATGCTGATCGAGGGAAAACCACTAACTGTCCCCTCTGTGAGGTTGGCTGAAACAATAGGCACAAAAGTCCTATGCCTATGGTCTACCCTGCTTGTTCTTATAAAAATATAACTTTAGGCATTGTAACACATAACAATAACACAAGGATAGCACAATGGGATGAAGATGGCCTGATTCTACCAAGAATGTCAATGAAATGGGGTCTACAAAGTCTAGGTACCAAACTGAGAATAAATAGCTGCAGAACTCCATAGAAAGAGAACAGAGTTCAGCTCCTGTGCTGACTTACCTCATCATCATGCACTTGACAAGTCAGGAAAAGCAAGGTAAAGGCACCTTCATGGGTGGTGCACATAGTCAAGGCTGTCACCTATGGCAGTGAGTAGTGCAGAATATATTTCAGTGGAATCTTCATGTGACCATGAAAATTAGAAGACCACCTGAGGTAAGTGCCCTATTCAACTGTACCATTTTTAAATCTTTTATAACAATTTTACTGTGCCTTTTCTGTTTATGTACACAAATGCTGACCACTGTGTTACAATTGCCTGCAGTATTCAGCATGGTAACATGCAGTACTGGTTTGTAGTTTAGGAGCAATAGGCTGTACCATATAGTCTAGGTCTGTGATAGGCTATACCACCTAGGTTTGTGTGAGTACATTCTATGAAGTTCACACAACAATCATACTACACAATGGTGCATTTCTCAAGATATATCCCCATTATTAAAAATGCATGATTATTTAAAAAATATAATGGATGTTGAGAGAGTAAAATTGCTATCTACTTTTTCATACCATGTAACCCCAAAACTTTGTGGCATGAAATCACAATATTTATTACCTAATCGAGTTTCTGAAAATGAGAAATTCAAGAACAATTTATCATGGTGGTTGTGCCTCAGGACATCTCATGTGGTTACAGTCAGATTTCAATTGGGGCTGTCATCCAAGGCTTGACCAAAACTAGAAGATCCACTTTCAAGTTTGCTAACATTCACGGCCTGCAAATTGGTGGGATTTGTAATTGAAGGCCTTGGTTTTCTCCACATGGATATTTTTGTAGGGCTGCTTGACTGTTCTCACCAAATAGCGGCTGGTTTCTTCCAGAGTGAGTGGCTTAGGAAAAAGCAACGCATTAGTGGCAAAATCTTTTATGATCTAGACTCAGAAGTCACACGTGGTCACTTCCATTACATTCTATTCACCAGAAAGGATTTTTAAGCTTGACATACCTTCAAGAAGAAGAGAATTAGGGTCTATGAAAGGACTTCAGTAAGTTTGTGAAAAAATGAAAGTAAAACACAAAAATAAAATATATAAACTTTATTTCTCAACATAAGCTTCATCAAGTTCAAGACACTTTTATAAGCAATAATACCAGCCTTTAGTCTATCCCTACAAAAAGTAAGGTCCTGGGAATTTAACCATGTCAAGAAAGTCTTTTCTACATTATTAATAGAAGAAAAATGGGTATCCTTTAAAGTTTTTTAAAATCTGAAAAGAAAAAGAAGTTAGAAGGAGCCAAATCAGGGCTAAGAGGTGGATGCTTAATAATTTTCCATGGAAACTCAGGCAAAATTGTCTTTTTTTAAGTGAGAGGAATGATGAGGAACACTGTTGTGGTGAAGAATTCTCTGGTGAAATTTTCTGGAAATTTTTCTTCTAAAGCTTTGGCTAACTTTCTCAAAATACTCCATAATAGCATGCGTTATTGGGGTTTTTGTTGGTTTGTTTTGGCCCTCTAGAAAGCCAGCAGGAAAAACGCCTTGAGCATCCTAAGACACTGTTGCTATGAGCTTTGTTCTAGACCAGTCACCTTTTGCTGAGACTGGACCACTTTTACCTCTTGGTAGCCATTGCTTTAATTGTGTTTTGTCTTGAAAATTTCACTGGAACAGCTGTGTTTGACTTCCTCACACAATTATTTGAAGAAATGCTTCAGGATCCTGATTACACTTACGTACAATTTCAGTTGAAAGCTCTGCTCTTGTCTGCAGCTGATCTAGGAACAAGAGTTTAACAAATTGAGATGGCTGTTGTGTTGACTGTTGTTTATACTGTTGTCATTCCTAAAGCAGGGCATGAACAAGATTAATTTCTTTTCTGGTGAATTAACATGAAATGTCTGCCACTGCAGGCTTTATCTCCAACACCTTATCATCCCTTCTTAAAATGTGTTATTCATTTGTATGCTTGTGAATGTTGGGGGGCATTGTCCTCATAAGTTATTATAAAGAATCAGTGATTTTACCATTCTTTCACCCCAAATTGCGAAAAATTTGACTTTTATTCTTGCTTTAATTTTAGCAGAATTCATTTTGCTCTAATAGGATCTCTTTTCAAAGTGGTGTCTTAGTTTCCTTATTATAATTCCTCAAATTAGATCCTGTTCAGACATGTTATAACAAAGTTAGTACAAATTAATTGCAAAATATTTTTGAAATCTATGCATAGTTTCTTCATAATATGCATTTCCCATGAACTTTTTGAAGATCCTTCATACTTTTTGAAGAGTGTCAAGTAAATTTTGAAGACATTTTTAAACTATTACAAGAAAATTATCTATAGAACTGAATTTCAGATTTATCAAGTTTGTGACAGGTATAATAACCAATGGAAATACCAGATGGGCAGCTTAGCTATTGAAATAGAATTAAATGATTATAGAGGTGTTCAGTAAAGACTTGCAGGCATTGAAAAAAGAATTTAAAAATTTAGAAATAAAATAACAGGATTATATATACCATTTAAGAGGAGAGATATCAGGAAAAAAAGAACAGGGAGAAGGACCAATAATAGCACATGTTATGTAAAATTTAAGGATAGTGAAGCCATTGCTGTTCTAGCACTGACATTTCTTTGTCAATAGTATCACTGAAACTCCTGCTCCCATTTCCAAAATCCTGTCTTTGTGAAGCAGGCTTTTTTTTTTTTTTTTGCAGTGACAGCAATCAGAGCACGATTATGAAGTAGACTGGACATAAGCACCACATTTTGGGTGTCACTGTCTCCCATCACCCCCTAATGGAACTGTCTAGTTGCAGGAAAACAAGCTCAGCGCTCCCACTGATTCTACATTATGGTGAGTTGTATAATTATTTCATTATATATTACAATGCAATACAATAAAGTATGAAATAAATGTAATATACTTGAATCATTCTGAAATCATTCCCCTGCCCAGTCCATGGATAAGTTGTCTTCCATGAAACTAGTCCCTGGTGCTGAAAAGATTGGGGACTGTTGCAATACAGAAAGAAAAATATAAAGAGAAGAAAACACAAAATCTATAACACCTTTAATAATATATGCACCGATGCTGTACAGAATACACTAATTACATTCATTTAAGTATCAACAAATACCTACAAACCAATACAAATGCCTAGAATTGTTTTAGGAGAACAGTGAATGAAAGAGCAAGAGAGAAAGATAGCAAATTAAAAATACACATGTATGATTATTAAAGCAAGACCCCATCTCTATAAAAAAAATCTACACATGCATGTCAAGTTGTAATGAGTACTAAGAACAAAAATGAAGAATGAGAGAAAAAGAGAGAGATAAGTTAATTCATGTAGAATGATCAAGGAAGTTTTTCTGCAATTACAATGGTTACCATCGCAGGTTTTAGAGTCAGTCAGATGCCAGTTTTAATCCTGGCTTTGCGTCTTATAGCTGGGTGTCCCGTGGACAATTTATTCCATTTTTAAATCTCAGTTTTCTAATTTCTAATTTCTAAATGTTTATTATTAGAAATAAAAGCACATGAAGAAACAAACATACATGAAAAATCAAGCACAGAAAAATGATGAGACTGTATAATGAATCAAGAATAATGGTTATAAAAATGGAGACAATAAAACTGACAAACTTATTAGATGATTCTGAATGTTAGGAGATAAATGTACATAAAGAATTTAGCATGTCATGTGGCATATAGTTAGCTCATGGTAACTACAATTATTATCCTCATATTACTAAGGGAAAATATGTATCATACTTGGGCTATGAGACATACTTTTTCAAATTATGCAAACACATAATTAAAGATTCAATTTTATGTTAAATAGTTCTACCTTTAATATTTTTAAAAGAGATTCCTTGAAAACATATGTCAAAAATCTATGTAATGCTTTCTACTTCTTCACCAAAGTTTAGAGAAAATTAACAATCGAACTCTTAAAATGTAGTTATATTAAATAAACTATTTAAAGCAAGTATAAGCACAACAGCTTTAACTTCTTAAAAACTGCTTAAGCATTTCAACTAAAAAATCATTTGTCTTTCAAATACACAGGAATCTGTTTAGAAAATTTTTAACTAGAAAAAGTTGGAATTCTAAAGTAAAAAGTGCTTAAGGCCATAAAACTTTTTTACAACTTTTAACTTAGATGTCAAGTGGGGGAAAAAACCATTCTCTGAAGTTTGCTTTTATACCATTAAAGACTTATTTTTTATTACCAGCAATACAGAGTGACTCATTCAGGTTGAAGCTTGAAGGTAAACTTTAACTTAATTTTGAGTTTTCACTAATTTTTAAGGATTTCTCAGTCACCTACCATAATTTCATCTCAGAAACCAAGACCTCAATTTCATATAGACATTTGCAATATTAAAACAGAAGGTTAAATGCTTCAAAACAATATTCATGTAAAGGCTTGCATATGTGGACCAGGAATCTCCATGTATTACAAATTTATGAGAATATAACAAATGTTGATACACACATTTAATTCTGAAATAAAAATTTACAACAAATAAAATTGTAACAAATCAAGAGAATTCTGTAGGTTACACCTTTTATGTCTAAAAATATAGGTATTAAACACTCAGGGATGGATAAAAGAAGAAATCACAAGAGAAAACAGGAAATATCTAGAGACAAATGAAAAATATGAAATACCAAAAAAGAGATACATCAAAAAAGTACCATAAGAGAAAAATTTATAGCTACAAATGATTATAAAAAGATATCAAATCAACAACTTAACTTTATACCTAATGAACTAAAAACAGAGGTAAAAAGAGGGAACAACTAAAAGCTAGCAAAATAAAAAAATGATAAAGAGAGCAGTGGAAATAAGTGAAATAGAGAATAGAAAAACAATATCAAAAAATCAACAAAACCGAGTTTCTGCTCTGAAAAATTTCAACAAAACTTCCAAACCTTTAACTAGATTGCCTAAGAAAAAAAAAGAATACTCAAATTACAAAACTCAAAAATAAAATGGGTACATTACTACCAAATTTTTGGAGTAAAAAAAGAATGTAAGAGACTACCATAAGAAACTGTACACTTAAAAATTGAATAATCTAAATAAAATGAACAAATTCCTAGAAACAAAAAACCTACTAAGACTGAATCAGAAAAGTTGAATAAACCTATTCAGCAAGGAGATTCAGCAAGAAGATTGCATCGGTAATCAAAAACCCAGCAACAAAGAAAAGCCTGGACCAGATGGTTTCACTGTTGAATTCTACTCAACGTTTAAAGCACAATTAACACCAGTTTTTCTCAAACTTTTTCAAAACGTTGAAGAGGGGGTGACATTTTCTAACTTATTCTATGAGGCTACTTATTACCCTGACACCAAGCCAGACAAAGACAGCATAAGAAAACTACAAACAAACATTCCTTACAAATGCTGATAGAAAAATCCTCAACAAAATATCAGCAATTCAAATTTAGCAGTACATTAAAAGGATTGAATGAGTACACTATGAATGAGTATAATTGACTCCTGAAATAAAAGTGTGTTCCAAAACATGATAATCAGTGTAATATCACATTAACATAAAGAAGGAAAAAACCCTCATGTAATCATTTTAATCAAAGCATTTGTCAAAATTTAACCCACATTCGTAACATAGAATCTGGCAATAATTTCTTGGATATGACAGTGAAGGCACAGACAACAACCACCACAAAAATACGTAAAAAGAACTTCATCAAAGTGAAAAGCTTTTATGTATCTGAAGATACAATCAATAGATTGAAAACACAATTCATGGAGGGGGAGAAAATATTCACGTTATATATTTGATAAGTAATTAATATACAGGCTATATAAAGACCTCAGCAACAACAACAAAACACTCAAATTTAAACATGAGCAAAGGTTTTAAAATACACATTTTTTTAAAGAAGATATACAAATGACCAGTAAGCACAGTATAAGGTGCTCAGCATCACTATCATGAGAAAAATGTAAATCCAAACCACAATGCAATACCAACTGACACATGTAAGTATAGCTACCATCAAAAAAACCACCACCAGCAAACCAAAACAAACAACAAGACCCCAGAAAACAGCAAATGCTGGATGTGGAGAAGTCAGGACTCTTGCACACTGCTGGTGGGAAAGTAAGATGGCACAGCCACTGTGGAAAACAGTAATCACCATATGATCCAGTAAGTCCACATCTGGGTATATACCCAAAAAAACTGAAAGTGGGAATTTGCACACCCATGTTTATAGCAGCATTCACAATAGCCAAAGGGTAGAAGAAGCCCAAAAGTCCATCTACAGATGAATGGATAAGCAAATATGATGTATACACACAATGATATATTATTCAGCCTTAAAAACAAATTCTAATACATGCTACAACATAAACCTCGAAAAGGTTAAAAAAAAATTCATATACTCTATGCTTTCCACTTTTATAACGTACCTAGAGCTGTTAAATTCATAGACATAAAGTAGGATGTGGATCCAGGGGATGGCAGGAAGGGAAATGGGGAGCTATTGTTCCGTGGATACAGAGTTTCACTTTGGGATGATAAAACAGGTTTGGAATTGGATAGTGGTGATAGTTGCACAACAATGTATTTGTACTTAATATACTTAAATTTTCTGTTACACATATTTTACCACAGTAAAAAAATTAGCAAATATTTAAAAATCTATGTGTTTCTTTGAACTATTTACATCCCTTGTCCATTTGTGAATTTGGCTGCTCATCTTTTAATAATTTAGGAGATATATATATATATATATATATATCATTTATAATATAAATGATATATATATATCATTTATAATATAAATGATATATATATATATCATTTATTTATAATATAAATGATATATATATATATAAAACCCAAATTAGCTTTTTGTCTGTCATGTATGTTGCAGATCTATTTCCCCAATCTGTTGACTTTTGACTTTGAGACATTTTTCTCTCATAGAAAGTTTTAATTTTTATGGAGTCAAATTCATTAGTCTTCTATTCAAAGACTTCTTTGTGGGTATAGTGTTTCACTTTAGGATGATAAAGAAGTTGTAGATATGGATAAAGGAGATGATTTTACAAAACTGTGAATATACTGGATGCCACTGAACTGTACATTTAAACACGGTTAAAATGTTAAGTTTTATGTTATATATATTTTACCACCAAAAAAGGGCCAGGCTTAGATGTTTATAGGTTAGGGGTTTGGAGTACCTTTAAAATTTGTTTCCCTCCAGGGCTCTAATTTATAAAACACCCACACAAGAAAAATAGATACTGACTTCACAAATCTCCTTACAAGTCCCACAGCAGAGGCTGTCTGGGAAAGCAGAGGTGGAAAAAGTCACATAAACTTGAGGTCAGTGTGAGACCTCCCATTGCCTACTCTGAAATCAGATGGAGGAAGGCATGCATGCTGGCTGAGCTGGAGAGATGAGCTGGGGTGGGCAGAACAGTGCTCCCATGAGCCTAGACCTTAAGTGCTCTCACATGCTCTCAGGCATGTATCAAATCAAGAAAGCAGCTAGGAGGGCAACACATCTACCTGTATACAGGGAGCTATGAAATATCTGAGCTGAGTAAGTGATGCACAAGGAGACAGAAGCAGTGTGACCTTTACACAGTGACCTGACTCAAATAATTTCAGGTTCTCATTAACCAGGAGAGCTCCTCTTTCTCTCTGAGGTAGGTAAACTTGAGCGGGTAAAGTGGGAGTTGGGGATAATGGAAAAGAAATCCTGGTAGTATTTCCTCTAACTCTGTTATAAATAAAAACATAATTCCCTTTCTCAGGGCCCAAATGTTAGGTGAAAAAATGTCATCTCAGTCATGTGATGTGGACTTTAGCAGAGCAGTACACACATGGTCATTGATTCCTTTCCCTCTGCATGTTGTGTGTTTTTTCAGTTTTATAATGTACCTGATCCACTTGTCTCATCATACTAGCTGAAAACCAGGCCACTGAATGTCACACCAGGTGGCCAGCATGTCTGTGAAGGGCAGAAACTGGGGCAGCCAAACAGCTGGCAAAGGCCAGCTAGTAAGTACCCAATGCCCACTCCATAGAGGACTCCACACTTAAGATAAGCAAGTGTCAGGCTGCCTCACTAGTTATCCCTCCAAATAAAAAAAAGAAGTAACCCCTCCAGGGAACATGTGTGTGTACACACCAAAGTACATGCACACAGCTTCATGCAAAGGGGAAAGGCTGGGAAGGAACCAAACCCACCTCTGAACACCAGTTACTTGTGGTGAAGGGGCAGATGAAATCGACTGTCAGCATTACTCACCTTTTCAACTGATGAGCTATCATCAATTTTGGCAATTTCTCATTAAAAAAAGAGGCAATTTTCACGCCGTGGGTGATCACCCAGGTCCTGCAAAACTGAGCTACCAACAACCACCTGCACCACTTCCCATGAGGCCAAATAATGGCTTCCCTCAAAGCTCAGCCCTCCCACCCACCTCCCAGTCCTGTCCCATGCAGGGGGGTACTAGCCTCCTGGGGTAAAGGGATCCAGGCCAAATCCACCACAGAGATTGTTGGTGAAACCAGCATGTACCCAAGGGCCTTTCCCCAACCTGGGCCATGTGCCCACTGCATCGATATACCTGTGCTTGCTCCCCTAGGACAGAGACTCCCTTTTCTTACAGTTGGAATGAGGGATGAGGAGATTTATTGGTATCCTGTACAGGTTGGATGTTAACCTGATGTGGTGCTCTTGGAGAAGCTTGCCTGAGTTAGGCACTTTCTCAGCACGTGGTGTGTGTGCTGTCCCTTCAAGCTGCAGAAGTCCCAGAAGGTAAGTGCTTCTGCAACCCCCATTTACTGGTGAGCAGGGGTCAGGTGACCTGCATCTGGCCAAGCAGCTGCTAAGTGGCCAAGAGGCTAGACCTGCATCTCACTTGCAGAGGCCCTGCCTGGCTGCTCTGAGAATCATTCTGCCTCCTCCTCCTCCTCCTCCTCCTCCTCCTCTTCCCTCCACAGCTCTCCTGGCTTCTATCCACAGCTGTGCTCCAGGTGGGGAACACCTATGGATGCACCAGGGTGCAGCTACTCAGACTGCAGCATGCAGAAGGGCCCGGGCTCTATGCTATTTCCATATCCAAGCCCAAGCTCATCTAGAGCTTCCACAAATCCAAGCCTCCGTGAATTCCCTGCAAGACCGAACTGAGCCCTACAACCCCCAACTACACTGGTTAGCTGCCAGTCCCAGCCCCTGCTCCCTCCTGGGCCCTTGTCTGTACAGTTCTGAAGTCCTGCAAGAATGTTGAGATCCTAAGCTGACTCTCACCCAAAGAGGTAAACAACCAGGGGCCTCCAGGTGAAGAGAACATACCCAGACAGGTTCTGCTGCCTGTAGGCTGGATGTCCTTCCCCCACAACATGCCATACTTGCCAGGCTGGAAGGGGGGCTCCAGAAACTTTGGAAACCTGGGCCTGTAGCTGGCATATGGAAAAGAGGCCTGGAAAAGCACCACTCCTGTGCCCCAGATGGAACCAGGTAATTAGGAAATACATGGGTACCAAGCCTGACCCCCCCACTCAGACCCAGGTGGGAACTGCAGCCGTGACTTGCCCCCTCTGCCACTCTGGCTGTACCACTACAGGAGGGAGGAACATCTGACCCCACATGTGAGTGGAGACGCTAGGTGTGGGCAGGTTCCAGTGGTTGCTGCAGCTGAACCTTCCCAAACAGATCCATGGGAAGCCATCTCAGATGGGTGCACACCTGGAGTGGGCAAGGACACCCCTCAGAGGGTGAGAGCCATTGAGGAGGGCTATTACAGAGGCCCCTTTGCCTGCTCTGAGAACAGGCTGGGGGAGTATGGTGGACCTCTCCCTCCTCCCAGCTGCTTCCAGGAGCCACTTCTTTCGAGATGAGGCACTCTCCTGCCAGCCTGTTCCCATTTGGCTGCAATAGGCCATTGCCAACATTCAGAGAAAAGAAAGGAGCCTCACCTCTTTTCTCTGACACATGTTAGGCAGGTGTATGTCCGGGGGTCCTGGGGTAGAACCTGTTCATCTGCCCACCCCCAGGCTATGCTGGCTTCATCTTTTCTGTGTGATGGGGGTGGGGTGGGAATTACCAAGAGGTCATCACACAGGCTGTGAACAAGTTCTACAAGAGCCAGGTAAAACAGCACTGTCCTGGCATGCTGCCCAGCACCCAGCTGACACACACATCTCTTATTTGAAGCTTCCCCAAAGCAGGCTTTGAAGTCCAGGCTCCCTGAGAAGCCTGGGAAGGAGACTCTGCCAGGCTAAAGGGCCTATCCCCAAAGGTGCCAGCCTCACCAGTCTCATCCTGACAATCTTATCTTTGCCCTGAAGTTTTGGAGTGGGGGATAGGGAGAGAGCAGACACTGCACATTAGCCACCTTTCCAGAGAGCATCAGCCATCCAGACTGGGGCAGGTCAGACCTCCACTCAGACGTTTTTCTCACTGGTTGCCGGTTGGGGGAAGCAGCACTTGTGAGCACCTGCCTGTCTCCTCAGATCCTGTTCAGAAACCCCATCTGTGCCTTTGGAGAGACTGCCCCCAGCACACAGGCCCAGCAACTGCCATCTATGGCCCCCAGGACCTAATCCCCTTCTACATAGGGTTCGATTCCTACCCACTAGTCCCTGCCAGATATCCCATGCCTATCTCATTAAGAGAATGAGGCCACACAAACACACCCAGGCCTTCATGGTGATGGAGTGGCTGGGGTCCTACTTGCCCACCCCTCATTGCTGGTTCAGAACCAGCTGTCTGACCACATCCCTACCCTGAGGTGGGACTTTGGGGACATTGTCCACCAGGGTCACTGACCACTTTTAAAGTTCCAGGAACAGAGGGCCAGCTGTTCCCCTGGAAGTTTGGTACATGGGATAAGCCAAGGCTTGCCTTCAGGAACAGGTTTTCTGCCACATAGCTGCCCAAGACCTAGGGCATCCCCAAGTTCGTGTGAAGCCTGCCTGCCATGTCCACAGCCCATGCTGACCCCTCCTGGAGCCACTGGAATGCTTGTTCCTGGGCATGTGATAAGCCCAGACAGCTTCAGCCTTGCAGGACAACTATGCACATCTGGCAGCAGTAGCCACAGGGCCTATAGAAAGAAGTTGGAGGTGAAACCAGATGCTATGAGAATACTTTATTAGGCAAAACCGCATACTATAAAAGTGCTTCAAAATGCAGCAGGAGGAGATGGGAAGACAAAAATGAACAAGTGCATAGTGACATATGGCTGTCAGAACACGGTAAAGAATCCACACTGCTTCCCCCCTTTACCCAGGAAAGGAAAGTTCTAGGCCACCTCCTCCTCAGCATACTCCTCAAACTTCTCGTTAGCTGTGGCATCCTGATATTGCTGATATTCCGACACAAGGTCGTTCACATTGCTCTCGGCCTCCGTGAAATCTGTCTCGTATGTGCCCTCACCCGTTTACCAGTGGAGGAAGGCCGTGCACCTGAACATTGCTGTAAACTGCTCTGAGACACGCTTAAAGGGTTCTTGGATGGCTGTGTTGTTTCCAATGAAAGTGGACGATGTTTTTAGCCCCTGGGGTGGGATGTCACAGACGGCTGTTTTTGTTATCGGGGAGCCAGTCAAAGTAGCTGTTCTTATTTTGAATGTTGAACATTTGTTCATCCACCTCCCTCATGGAGATGTGACCCCTGAAAATGGCTGCTGCCATTAGGTAATGGCCATGGCGGGGGTCACAGGTGTCCATCATATTCTTAGCATCAAACATCTGCTGGGTAAGGTAAGCTCAGCCACGGGCAGGGCCCTGTACTGCTGGCTGCCCTGGCTGGTCAGTGGGGCAAAGCCAGTCATGAAGAAATGCAGCTGGGG
Organism: Homo sapiens; assembly: GCF_000001405.40. Lineage (NCBI taxonomy): Eukaryota > Metazoa > Chordata > Mammalia > Primates > Hominidae > Homo > Homo sapiens. Next base: position 34,165,322 of record NC_000012.12, read on the forward strand.
AAATGGGACCAAGTTCACCACCAGCTTCCACAGGTCAGCATTCAGCTGGCCTGGAAAGCACAGGCATGTGGTGACCCCACTCATGGTAGCAGACGCCAGGTGGTTCAGGTCACCATAGGTGGGTGTGGGCAGTTTTAGGGTAGTGGAACATATGTTGTATAGAGCTTCGTTATCTATGCAAAAGGTCTCATGGGCATTTTCTATGAGCTGGTGGACTGAGAGCACTGTAGGGCTCTACAACGATGTCTGACACCTTGGGCAAGGGTAGGACGCTGAATTTGTTTATGATCCTGTCTGGATACTCCTCCCGGATCTTACTAATGAGAAGGGTACCCATCCCAGACCCAGTCCCCCAACCCAGGAAGTGGGTCAGCTGGAAACCCTACAGGCAGTCACAGCTCTCAGACTCCTTTCTGACAATGTCCATCACTGACTCCATCAGTTCCGCGCCTTCTGTGTAGTGCCCCCTAGCCCAGTTGTTTCTGGCCCCACACTGACCTGTAAGACAGTACAGTCAGTCACTCAATGGCCAGGTATATGGTCATCAGTGGTCACCACAATGCAAAATGCTCCAAGTGTCACGTGTGAGGTGAGAGCACCATTCACCCTGCAGGTGGAGCAAATGAAACCCCCTACCCCAGAGTTACAGGACAGCAGCCTCCCCTGTTAGAAATTAGATCAGGAGCCAAACCTGAGACAGGCTAACAGACCTCACTGCAGGTGGCTCCTGCCCATTTCCAGAGAAGGCAGTAGCCACGGCCCCAGCTCAGCTGCCTACAGGGAGTTTACATCAGTAGCTCCTCACCTTGAGGAGACACCTGGGGGTTCCTCCCAAAGCCCGTTTAGGAGAGGCAGATTGAGCTAGTGGGAGGATAGGAGGGTGTTCAGTGGCCCTGGCTCCACAGTTCCCACAACGATGACCTTGGGGCACTCCTAGATTTTGAGCTACCCTGGCTAAGGAGCTGCACCCCAGTCCTCACCCGCAGCTCACCAAAGATGAAGTTGTCTGGCCTGAAGATCTGCCCCAAGGGCCCCGAGCGCACAGAGTCCATAGTGCCTGGCTCCAGATCCATGAACACAGTGCGGGGCACGTACCTGCCACCTGAGTGGGACCGGAGAGCATTAGCGAGGGGAGGGTCGCCGTTCCCAGGAGAGTGGTTGGGGAAGGACTGGGGTCTCACCGCTGGCCTCATTGTAGTACACGTTGATACGCTCCAGCTGCAGGTCACTGATCCCGTGGTAGGTGCCTGCGGAGTCGATGGCATGTTCATCAGAGTTCACCTCCCAGAACTGCAAGAGATTGGAGGGGCCAGACGAGCCAGGGCTGAGTCAGGAGGCCAGGACGCCGGAGGCGCCCCAGTCCCTCTCCCACCCCCACCCGCACCCCCATCCCTAGGCCGCAGTGTCCCTGAGGTCCACACTGGCCGTCTCGCCAGCCGGCCAGTTCCACCGCGTCCCCAGCAGGGAGCCCAGGGGCCGCAAACGCAGGGGCGCCACCCCTGCCACTGCCACTACCAACATCTTCTCTGGCCACCCGGCAGGCCCGAGCTGGGCCCTCAGAGCCCCGGCTGCCAACCTTGGCGCCGATCTGGTTCCCGCACTGCCCAGTCTGCGTGAACGCTATCTCCCTCATGGCCAAGGCAGGATTAGGGCGGCAGGAGAAACGCGAGGAGGAGCAGACGCGCAGTGACCCAGCCCGCCCTCCGCCAACGCTGAAATAGCCCCACGCCCACCTCCCTCAACCTCGGATTGGGCTCCCAGAATAAGCAACAGCTTTACTTCCTCACAGGTGTACCCACCTCTGAATCCCTTGGAGTTGAACGTCTGTTGGAGAGCTCAGGTGGCCTTGCTGTTGTCCTTTCCACGTTGGGGAAAGCTGGTCAGCTGGAGAACTTCCTCCCATGTCTTTAGTAGGACTAAATCCCTAGCTGAGCTGAAACTGAATGTTCCTCCCATGGGGGAGGGGAAGACTCTTGTTTCCATATTCACAGAGTGCCTTTGCACCTGTCCTAGATTGGTGACATATTTTTGTAATTGATGAGTCTTTTCATCTATTAGGAGATCTGTGGTTAGGAAAGGCCTTCCATATGTTAACTCAACAGGACTTAATTATAAGTTTAACTTTGGAGCAGTTCAAACCCTCAGTAAGCTATGGGGGTCAGAGATAGTCAGGCCTTTGATTTAGCTAGTCTTCTTTACAGTAGGATTAGCCCTTTCACCTTTCCAGAGGACTGCAGTCTCCAGGCAGAGTGAAAGTAATATTGGATTCTTAAAGCTGAGGATAGGTATTGGGATATGCCTACTGTGAAAGATGGGCCATTGCCACTTTGCAGGCTTTTAGATTACCCAAACTGAGGAATTATTTCTTCTGGTAAACATTTTTCAGATGGGTGGCGAATGCCTCGATCTAACCAGTGAAGGTATCAGTAAGCATTAGCAAATATTTGAATCTCCTGCAGAAAGGCATCTGAGTAAATTAGAGTTGCCAGTTCTAACCTGGATAGGTTCCTCAGTGTTAGGTTTAACTGGAGAAGGAGAAAATTGTTGGCCATTTGGGTCATGTCAGCACAGAGCTCACAGGACTGAGTCACCTGTTTTAGTGTCTTGAAAAGATTTACCCCCATAAACAAATGAGACATTAACAGAAACAAAAAATCCCTTCTAGGGTGAAAAGAATCATAAAAGTGCTGAATTATTTTCCTATGATTGGTACTTGGCGTTAGTAATTTATTACCATCATTCAGCCAGCCACAGGGGTCCTGGACTGAACTGCAAACCCTGGCCCATTTTTGTTCTTCTTCAGAGTATTCTGGCCCAGTTCTATGTATGCTGACCAGCACGCCCATAAGCTTCTTTGGCCCTTTCAGTGCAGGGGCCTTGGCTGTGGTGTCTACAAGGGCATTTCCTTTTACATGGTCAGTCTATCTTTTGAGGTCCTCTGCAATTAATTATAGTCATTTTTGGCAGCAAAGCAGCATTCTAACAAGCTCAAAATCTGAATGATGTTGTATGGAAAAGCCCTTGGAGGTCAGGAGTTCCTATCCATTCCAAATTGCAGCGTAAACATGAAGCACTAAAAAAATCATACTTGGAATCAGTGTAAATGTTAACTTTTAAATCCTTTCCCAACTGCAGGGGCCTAGTAAGTTCAATTAACTCAGCTTTTTGAGCTGAGGTAGAGACCAGCAATACTTGTGCCTTGATTCTCTTGTGCTGACTAATAATAGTATATCTAGTCCTTCTGTTTTCCTGATGCATAAAACAACTTGCATCTGTTAACCACTCTTCCTTGGGATGGTCAAGGGGCTCATCTCTCTTAAGTCTGGCCTCCTAGAATAAATTTGTTTTATAACCCGTGACATACTTTGGCTGTGTCCCCAGTCAAATCTTATCTTGAATTGTAGCTCCCATAACTCCCATATATCATGGGAGGGACCCAGTGGGAGGTAATTGAATTGGGGGATGGGTCTTTCCCATGCTGTTCTCATGACAGTGAATAAGCCTCATGAGATCTGATGGTTTTCATTTATTTATTTATTTTTGAGACATAGTCTTTCTCTGTTGCCCAGGCTGGAGTGCAGTAGCATGATCTTGGCTCACTGCAACCTCTGACTCCTGGGTTCAAGTGATTCTCCTGTCTCAGCCTCCCGAGTAGCTGGGATTACAGGCACCCACCACCACGCCTGGCTAATTTTTGTACTTTTAGTATAGACGGGGTTTCACCATGTTGGCCAGGCTGGTCTCAAAATCCTGACTCAGGTGATCCACTGCCTTGGCCTCCCAAAGCGATGGGATTACAGCTGATGGTTTTATAAAGGGGAATTTCCCTACACAAGCTCTTTTGCCTGCTGTCATGTAAGAGATGTGACTTTGCTCCTCATTTGCCTTCTGCCATGAGTGTGAGGCCCCCCAATCATGTGGAACTGTGAGTCAATTAAACCTCTTTTCTTTATAAATTACCCAGCCTCAGATATGTCTTTATTAGCAGCATGAGAATAGACTAATACAACCTGTATGCCAGAAAGGCTGGGAGCACCTGTGGACTCTGGCAGATAAGTAGCTGGGTTTATGGTTTGTCAGGCTTTAAAGGTTATGTCTGGAGTGTCTAGCAATAAGGCCTGATACTTTCATAAATATTCTCCTATTATCCACTGGTGACTTTTATCTTCCAGGACCACCTTCCCTTGGTGTGAGGTCAAAAACCTGTAGGTGCTGTCCTAATGTTAGTTTATTAGCTTTGCCTACTAGAAAAGTTGTATCAGCAATAGCTCTAAGACATCAAGGCCATCCTGAGGCCACCTGGTCTATCTTCTTAGAAAATTAGGCTACTGGCCTTGGAATGTTCCCATTTTGGGACAAGATTACCCAAGGCCTGTGTCTTGCTTTTTGGCTACATAAAGCAAAAATGGTTCATCCAACTTGGGGACTCCCACAGCTGCAGCAAAGCCCAATTTCTCCTTGAGAGTATTGAAGGTTTGCTTGCAGTTCTAATTACATTCTAGGAGCTGTAAATCATTCCCTTTAGTGTATCATATAAAGGGTTGGCTACATGTCCCAATCTGGGCACCCATAAGCAGCAGTACCCAGACATCTCCTAAAAAAGCCCACAGTCATTTGTTGGACTGGGACCCTTGGATGACTAAAACAACTTTTTTATCTTCTAGGGATGTTGATCAGTTCCAGAGGTTAAGACAGATTCCAAATATTTAAGTCTTTTAGTCAAAATCTGAGCCCTGTATGGTGATACCCTATATCTGTAAGTTCCCAGGAAAGTTACCAGTTTAACAGTATTATTTGAGTCTTCTTTAGTTGGGCTAGCAATGAGCAAGTCACCTACATACTGAATAATTGTGTCCCTTTCCAATTGTAGATTTCTTAAGTCCTTAGCTAGAGCATTTTCTAATAAGTGGGGGCTATCCTAGAACCCTTCAGAGATGACAGTCCAGGTTAATTTTGCGGCTGAATGCGTATCTGGATCAGTCCATTCAAAGGCAAACATATTGTGAATCTGGATGCATTGAGATGCAGAAAAATGAGTCTTTCAGGTTTAAGAATGTAAACCAGCTTGCATCCCCTGGGACTTGGGTAAGTATTGGGGACAATGAGGTGTACGGAGACAACTGCATTTATTAATGCTCTAAGGTTTCTGACAAATCTATAATTGCCATTAGGCTTTTCATCTGGTAACATGCGAGTATTGTAAGGAGACTCTCATGGCCTTAATAACTCATATGGCAAGAATTTAGCAATAAGGGTTTGAGGCCGGGCATGGTGGCTCACTCCTGTAATCCCAGCACTTTGGGAGGCCGAGACAGGCAGATCACGAGGTCAGGTGATCAAGACCAACCTGGCTAACATGGTGAAACCCCGTCTCTACTAAAAATACAAAAAAAAAAAAAAATTAGCCTGGCATTGTGGTGGGCACCTGTAGTCTCAGCTACTCGGGAGGCTGAGGCAGGAGAATGGCGTGAACCCGGGAGGCGGAGCTTGCAGTGAGCCGAGATTGTGCCACTGCACTCCACCCTGGGTGACAGAGTGAGACTCCGTCTCAAAAAAAAAAAAAAAAAAAAAAAAAACACAAGGATTTGAATTTCCTCGCATGCTTCTTGCCTTAAAATGTATTGTCTCTTCTGAGGGCGAGGAGCACTAGGCTTAAGTTGGATTTGGATGAGGGAGGTGTTTAGTGCGTTTCCCAGAGCCTGTGTGGCCCAAACCTCAGGATTTACTTGAGACAACACCTCAGGTGGTAAATGTGACAGCTCATTCTTAACTTCTTTTTTCCCCTGAGGGGTCAGGAACAAAAGTAACACTTTCTCTGCTTTATGATCTGTGAAGGTGACCATGACTTGGTCTCCTGAGTCAATAAACCTCTCCCCAGTAAGAGGTCAGGCATTCAGAAAGTACTAAAAAGGCAGGTGAGAAACCCAGAGGCCCTGGAGGACAACTTAGAAGATAAGAAAGGCAGTGTTTTTGGGCTTGTCCATCATGAGAAGACAGGAGCCCTTGTATTGAATCAGAACAGTCATCTGCTCCCACACCTAATAAGAAGTTAATACTCCTACCTGCCACTTCAAGAGTCACCTGAGGCTCCTCCATCTCTGGATAGCTAATAGTCCAATGGGAGCGGAGGCAAGAAGTATCAGGCCCTACCACTTTGGGATCTGCTGGGCTCTGATGATGGCTCCCTTGGAAGCGCAGTGCATTTCCTTCCGCAGTGGCTGACCTTCTTAGAGAAGGCACATTGATTTATATCCAAGGCATAGTGGCCCAGAGGCACAGACTGGGGCTTTTACCTTTTCACTTCCTGTGTGAGGGCCAGGGGTTAAGGGGCTGCCTCTGAAGTGGTGGAGAGCACAAGGCTGCAGCTAGAAGCTGGGCCTCTTGTGAGATTTGCTTTATTTTATGTCTTCTCTGTCCTATTCCTGTGATGGAAAACTGCAAAAGCCAAGTCTAAAAGCTGATCCGTGGGAGTCTGGAAGCCTAAGACTGCTTTTGGCGGCTTCCTGCAGATATCAGAAGCAGCCTGGGCTATAAAATAAACTAGCAATGCTGCAATGCCTGTCCCTTCTTGGAGTCAGGGGCAGTGTTAGTGTATTTCCTCAAGGTCTAAATTATCCACCCTTGTAATAAGGCTAGGATTTCATCTTTTCCCTGAGTAATTTTCCAGACTTTATAAAAATTAAAAAGCTTTATCACACTTTTTTTTATTCCTTCAAGGAGTCAAATAATCATTATTTTTTCTCTATATATCCCACTTTCTTCCTAATTCATTTCTCTTTTCTAGATTCTAGTTGTCTTTTGGGTCCTTGTCAGGCACTGCTGTGCCTCCTACTTGATAGGTGCCATGTACCTGGTTGCAGGCTGCCACCCTATTAGCTCTAGCCACTCCCATAATACACTGCTTTTCTACCATGCAGCAGGTAAACATAAATATATGCAAATCTTGCCTGCTTAAATTTGTCTATGAATTTTCCTAGAACCTCTGAAAACTATTTTAGTCTTTCCTTGCATATGGCTAATTCAGACATAGTAAAGGGTACATATACCTATAGAGTGTCCCTATTATCACCTGTCACTTCCCAGAGAGGGCAAAAATTCAACTTTGTCAGCTGATAAGAGGGCCCACTGCAGGTTGTTCTTGTGAAGCTCGGGTGTTTCGAGAGCGGGGTATGTATGTAAGACACGACTCGAAGGGCAGGGAGAAGATGATGACTGGACACTAGATAACCCTGGAATACTAGAAGGAATTAATAACATGTTGCACACCTCAACAGAACTGGAAGGAGTCTGACTGTGTTCTTATTGGGTGCTTGGACTGGCAGGGGAGAGTTCAGCCCCAGCTAAGAAAAGCCTAATATTAAGAGGCACTTGCATTAAAAGGGTAATCAATTATGAGCCATCCCTATTTTGTCTTTTCCTCCATCGAACATATAGAAGCCCATTTTAATTTTTTATCCTGACCAAGCATTAGAGAAGCCTGTATATAATATATTTCCTCCCACTTAGTTTCTCTTCTGTAAAACTAATTAAGCTTCAAAAAAAGGAGTCAGACCAAACAGGGGAAATGAGAAGGCTGTAACTTGTGTATTGTAATGTATGAGTCCATTTTCGCACTGCCATGACAAAACTGACAAAAATCTTTCAGGGAAAAAGTGACATGCTGGGTGGGTTTAGAAAGTAGGGTCCAGCTGCGCTACACCAGCTCATCAAAGATGACCTTATGGTTAAGAAATGAGAGAAAACTGTTAAGAAAAAGTTTCATGTTCTCCATCTTGAGGCTAATCATTTGCAGAGGATTGTCATAAAAGAGGCTGTCACTAAACAGGCATATATGAACTTATCATGTAGGGCTGTTAAATATCACATTCCAACTTCTAGTCATAATGATGGAGAGGTTATTGCTGATTTTTTCTGATAATTAAGGTACAAAAATACTAGGTTCCAAGACATCTCTTTTTTTCAGTGTCACTTGGATCAGTGGCAAATTAAATAAGCAATCAGCTAAAAGTCAGAGGGTCATTGAGGAAAGTAAAAGCTAAACTGTTTGGGGCCTCTTTCCTGGGGCAGCCTATAGGCTACCACAAAACACAGGCAGTGAGCAGAAAGGTGACAAGATGCAGAGCACTCAGGTGAGGGACAGAGAGCACAAGGTGGACAGTCCAAAAAGAGAAAGTGGCAAACATCTTGTTTAGCCAAATCCATTCTTCTCAATATACCCCAGGGACTCTAACCTTGTAAGCTTGGCCTCTAATCTGAGTATGACACCCCCAACTCTCTAACTTTTTGGACTGAGTCTCTCACCTGAACATTATACCCTAGGGTCTCTCACTTAACGTAATGGTGGATAATCATTCTTGCCCACCTGAATGGCTTCACGACTCTAAAAGATGGCCCACTTGCCAGCTGATTGATTCTGTGTGGAATGTTTTCCTTGGAGTAGGGGTCTTGTCTTGGTGTCCCTTCATGGTGTTGCTGAAAAATGTTGCTGGAAGAGCGTCCTGATACAGAGCACAAAGTAGGATTCTTAGATCATGTGCAGGAAAAAATTTGAGGTGAGTCAGAGAGCACAGTGAAAGAAGCAAGTTTATTAGAAATGACTCCATTACAGAGTTGGACACCCTCAGAAAACAAGAGCAGGAATGTGTTGTCTTTTGTTAGTGTCTCTACTTATAAGTAACTATAAAGAGAAAGAATTCTAATTAAACTTGGAAGGTGCAGATGTACTCACTAAAGTCAGGGGCTATTGGTTTTAACAATGACCATTAACCTGTTGACCTAAGCTAGCTCATTTATATTATCTTTAAGAAAAAATGCTGCACTCCTAGGACATTTACACATTTTTCAGGCTTGGTGGAAGATGTCTTATATGGCCATAAATGTTCTGCAATTGTAATTTATGGCCAGCTAAAAAATGTGGCTATTTTCAGACCATAAGTATTAACCTTCTAGATGCCTTGTGAGTACCTAGGTACTCATATTAACATTGAATATTCTAGTCATGTTTATTAAACTAGAAGCTTGGTAACCATGAGTTCCTCTAACACAGCAAGTCTACTTCTCAAGGACAAAGTGTATTTCTCAGGAATTTTGTGCATTTTGTTTGTTGGAATTTGGTATGTTTACCAAAATGGCAGAAAAGGGTGAAATTAGTCCTCAAAGATTTCTCAGGATTGGATGTAAAGTAAACAAAGTGATTATAGTTAATATGCAAGTTGATACAGTTGATATTCAAAAGAAATTTTGTTTGAAACACAATGAGAGTTTAATTAATTAATTATTATTATTACTATTTTGTGACAGAGTCTTTCTCTGTTGCCCTGGCTGGAGTGCAGTGCACCATCTTGGCTCACTGAAACCTCTGCCTCCCAGGTTCAATCGATTCTCCTGCCTCAGCCTCCCAAGTAGCTGCGATTACAGGCATGCATCACCACACCCAGCTAATTTTTGTATCTTTAGAAGAGACGGGGTTTCACTCTGTTGGCCAGGTTGGTCTCAAACCCCTGACAAAAAGTGATCTGCCCACCTTGGCCTCCCAAATTGCTGGGATTACAGGCATGAGCCACCACTCCCAGCCACAATGAAGTTTTTAAATAATTCTAACTGATTTCCTGCTGTTGAGCAGGGAGCTGAGCAAATTCAACAGATCATGGGCCTAAAGTAGAAGACTGAGGAGAAACTCTGGAACACATGTGATTAAATTAATTACAATTGAAATCAAATCAAATTTAATAAGGTTGTACCTCTTAGTTTCAAGATGTTTCCCATCATTTTGAAATGTGGTGTCATTCAGTGGAAAAGAAAAATAGTGTTTATGTCCAGAGTAAAGAAAGGGGTTCCCTGCAGGGATTGATTGACTGAGAGCTATGGCTCAGGATTAAAAATTCTTCTTTTTTCCACTTATAAACTAAAAATTAATCTCTAAGCCCCTACTGACTAAATGGACCCCTCTTCTTGGATAAGGACATTTTAAAGTTAACCTGAAAACTAGTTCAAGCCATGGGTCACACATGCCTCATTATACTCTCGTCCTCTCTTTGGTTTTAATTTTAATTTTTAATTTATTTTTGTGGGTACATAGCCAGTGTATATATATATGGGGGTACATGGCATACTTTGATACAGGCATGCAATGAGTAATACATAATAAAAAATGGGGTATCCATCCCCTCAAGAATTTATAGCTTGTGTTATAAACAATCCAATTATACTCTTTTAGTTTTTATAAAATGTAAATATTATTTTTGACTATAATCACCCTGTTGTGCTATCAAATACTGTCTTATTCATTCTTTCTAACAATTTTTTGCACACATTTAGCATCCCCACTATTCCCCTCTACCCCCACTGCCCTTCCCAGCCTCTGGTAACCACCTTTATACTCTCTATCTCTATGACACCAATTGTTTTGAATTTTAGCACCCACAAATAAGTGAGAACATGTGACATTTGTCTTTCTGTACCTGACTTATTTAACTTAACACAAAGACTTTCAGTTCCATTTATGTTATTGCAAATGACAGACTCTCATTCTTTCTTATAGCTGAATAGTACTCCATTGTGTATATGTACCACATTTTCTCTATCCAGTCATCTGTTTATGGAAATTTAGGTTTCTTCCAAATCTTGGCTATTTCTAGCATTTGTTTTTGACTGACTTCTGGATAAAAGCCACCTTAACTGGGGTGAAATGATATCTCATTTTGGGTTTGATTTGCATTTCTATGATGATCAGTAATGTGGAGCACCTTTTCATTTGCCTGTTTACCATTTGTCTGTCTTGTTTCCATAAATGTCTACTTAAATTTTTTGTCCACTCTTTAATTAGATTACTACATTTTTTCTGTAGAATTTTTTGAACTCAATATATTGCAGTATATTAGTCTGTTTCTACACTGCTATAAAAAAACAGACACTGGGTTATTTATTTATCTATTTATTTATTGAGATGAAGACTTGCTCTGTCGCCTAGGCTAGAGTGCAGTGGTATGATCTTGGCTCACCGCAACCTCTGCCTCCCGGGTTCAAGCAATTCTGTGCCTCAGCCTCCTGAGTAGCTGGGATTACATTACAGGCACCGCCCACCATGCCCAGCTAGTTTTTGTACTTTTAGTAGAGACAGGGTTTCACCATCTTGGCCAGGCTGGTCTTGAACTCCTGACCTTATGATCCACCTGCCTCGGCCTCCCAAAGTGCTGGGATTATAGGTGTGAGCCACTGCACCTGGTGAAAAATTTTTAAGGAAATAGGTTTAATTGACTCATAGTTCCACATGGCTGGGGAGACCTCAGGAAACTTACAGTCACGGCAGGAGGGGAAGCAGGCACCTCTTATATGAAAGCAGGCGAGACAGCATGTATGTGAAGCAAAGGGGTAAGAGCCCCTTATAAAACCATCAGATCTCAGGAGAACTCACTAATTATCAGAAGAACAGCATGGGGGAAACTACTTCCATGATCCAATCATCTTCTACCAGGTCTCTCCCTCAACATCTGGAGATTACAATTCAATATGAGATTCGGATGGGGACGCAAAGCCTAATCATATCATGTAGCTATTAATTGCTTTTCAGATGGGTAATTTAAAAATATTTTCTCCCTTTCTGTGGATTTTCTCTTCACTTTGTTTATTGTTTCCTTCACTTTGAAAAAGCTTTCTGACTTGCTGTAACTCCATCTGTCCATGTTTGCTTTGGTTGTCTGTGCTTACGGGGCATTATTTAAGAATTTTTTTGCCCAAACCAATGCCCTAGAGAGTTTCTCCAATGTTTTCTTGTAGAAGTTTGATAGTATGAGGTGTTAGGTTTAAGTCTTTAATTCACTTTAATTTGATTTTTGTATGTGGCAAGAAATAGGGTTCTAGTTTCATTCTTCTGCCTATGGCTTGCCAGTTTTCCCAGCCCTATTTATTACAGAAACTGTCTTATTTTTTATTGTATGTTCTTGTTGAAAATAAGTTTAGTTTAGCTGTATGAGTTTGTTTTGTTGAAAATAAGTTTAGTTTAGCTGTATGAGTTTGTTTCTAAGTTTTCTATTTCATTCCATTTGTCTTTATGTCTGTTTTTATTCTAGTGTCATGCTGTTTTAATTACTATAGCTTGATAGTATAGCTTGATAGTATAATTACTATAGCTTGATAGTATAATTTAAAACCAGGTAATGGGATTCCTCCAGTTTTATTTTACGTACTCAGCATAGCTTTGACTATTATGGTGTTTTGTGGTTCCATATATATTTCAGAATTTTTTTTCTATTTCTGTGAGGAATGTCATTGTTATTTTGATAGAGATGGCATGAAATGTATAGGTTGCTATGGATTGTATGGACATTTTTAAAAATACTGATTCTTCCAATCTGTGAACAAAGAAATATCTTTCCATTTTTTTGTGTGTCCTCTTTCATTTCTTTTATCAGTGTTTTACAGTTTTAATTGTTGAGAACTTTTATTTCTTTGGTAAATTCCCATACATTATGTTTTATTTGTGGCTATTGCAAATAGGAATATTTTTTAAATTCTCTTTCAGCTTGTTGACTGTTGGCATATAGAAATCCTACTGATTTTTATATGTTGATTTTGTATTCTGCAAATTTACTCGTTATTTCTTCTAATAGTTTTTTGGTGGATATATTAGACCATTCTCACATTGCTACAAAAATAATTGGTGACTGGTTAATTTATAAAGAAAATAGGTTTAATTAGCTCATGTTCTACAGGCTGTACGGAAAGCATAGCACTGGCTTCTGCTTCTGGGGAAGCCTCTGACAACTGACAATCAAGGTGAAAAATAAATCTGGTGCTTGCACATCACATGGTAAGTGTGAGGGCAGGGGAAAAATGCTACACACACTTGTAGATGACCAGCTCTCCTGAAAACTTACTATTGTGGGAATGGTACCAAAGGAAATGATGCCAAACTATTCATGGAAATCCTGCCCTCATGATTCAATCACCTCCCCACTAGGCCCACTTCCAACATTGAGGATTACATTTCAATATAAGATTTTGGTGGGAACACATAACCAAACTATATCATTTTGCCACTGGCCATTCCAAATCTCATATCCTTCTCATATTTCAAAATACAATCATGACTTCTCAATAATCCCCAAAGTCTTAACTCATTTCAGCCTTAACTCAAAAGTCAAAAGTCTCACCTAAGACAAAGCTAGTTTCTTACTCCTATAAGCCTATAAAATAAAAAAAAAGTTAGGTACTTCCAAGATAAAAATGGGACATAGGCATTGGGTAAATACTCCTATTCTAAAAGGAAGAAATCAGCTAAAAGGAAGGGTCCACAGCACCCATGCAAGTCTGAAACCCAGAATGGGAGTTATTGAATTGTTAGGCTCCAAAATAATTATTTTTGACTCTATGTCCCATTTCCAGGGCACACTAATGTCTTGGGAAGTTTTGACCTTTTGGCTTTGCATGGTTCAGCCTGCACAGCTGCTCTCATGGGCTGGTATTGTGTGCCTCTGGCTGGTTTTGTGTTCCTCTGGCTTTTCCAGGTGCAAGGTGTAAGCTGTAGCTAGATCTACCATTCTGGGGTCTGGAGGACAGTGATCCTCTCCTCACAGAATCCTCTCCTCACTAGGCCATGCCCCAGTGGGGGACCTACATGGGGACTGTAACCCCACATTTCTTCTCTGCATTGTTTCAGTAGAAGTTCTCAATGAGGGCTCCACCCCTGCAGCATGCTTCTGCCTGCACACTCTGGCTTTTTCATACATCCTTTGAAATAAACGTGGAGGCTCCCAAATCTCAACTCTTGCATTTTGTACACCCTCAGGCCTAACATCACATGAAAGCTACCAAGGCTTATGGCTTGCACCCTCTGAAGCAGTGACTATAGTTGTAACTGGGCCAATTTGCACTACACCTGGAGCTGGAGCAGTGACCAGGATGCAGGGAGCCATGTTCCAAGGCTACCCAAGGCAGCAGGTCCTGGGCCTGGTCCCAGAAACTATTCTTTTCTTTTAGGCCCCAGGGCCTGTGATGGGGGGCTGCCTCTTAGGTAGATAAAATGCTTTCAATTCCTCTTTCCCATTGCCTTGGCCATCAACACTTGCTTTCTTTTTTTTTTTTTTAGGTTATACAAATATCTCTAATAAGTGGTTCTTCCACAGCCTGCTTGATTTCCTCTCTTATAAAAGCTTTTTATTTTTCTGCCACTTGACTAGGCTGCAAAGTTTTCAAGATTTTACACTATGCTTCCCTTGTAAGTATAAGTTACAACTTTTTTTTTTCTCCAACATCTGAGCATAGGTGGTTAGAAGCAGCCAGGCCACATCTTGAATGCTTTGCTGCTTAGACATTTTTCCAACAGAAACCCTAAATCATCACTTTCAAATTCAAACTTTTATATATCCCTAGGGCATGACAGAAATTCAGCCAACCAGTTTGCTAAGATGACATGCATGACCTTTGCTTTGGTCCTAATAAGTTTCTAATTTTCATCTGAGACCTCCTCAGCCCAGGCTTCACTGTCCAGATCACTATCAGCATTTTGGTCACAGCCATACAACCAGTCTCTAAGAAAATCTCAACTTTCTGTCATTTTTCTGTCTTCTTCTGGGTCCTACAAACTCTTCCAACCTCTGCCTGTTTACTCAATTACAAAGCTGATTCCACATTTTCAGTTATTCTTATAACAATTTTCCACTCCTTGGTGCGAATTTTCTGTATTAATCTATTTTTGCATCACTATAAATACCTGAGACTGTGTAATTTATCTTTTAAAAAGGAGGTTTAAGTGGCCCATGATTCTACAGGCTGTAGAGAAGATGTAGCACTGGTATACACTTCTGGGGAGGCCTCTGGGAGTTTACAGTCATGGCAGAAGTTGAAGCAGAATCTTGCACATCACAGGGCAAAAAGCAAGAACAAAAAACAGAGAGGCACGTTGTTACACACTTTTAAATAACCAGATCTTATGGGAACTCACTCACTATCATTGAAGGTGTGGCCTGCCCCTCCACACCTGTGGGTATTTCTAGTTGGGTGGGACAAGAGACTGAGAAAAGAAATAAGACACAGAGACAAAGTATAGAGAAACAACAGTGGGCCCAGGGGACCAGCACTCAGGACACCAAGGACCTGCACTGGCACTGGCCTCTGAGTTCCCTCAGTTTTTACTGATTATTGTTTTCATTATTTCAGCAAAAAGGAATGTAGTAGGAGAGCAGGGTGATAATAAGGAGAAGGTCAACAAAAAACATGTGAGCAAAAGAATTTATATCATAATTAAGTTCAAGGGAAGGTACTATGCCTGGACATGCACGTAGGCCAGATTTATGCTTCTGTCCACCCAAACATCTCAGCGGAGTAAAGAATAACAAGGCAGCATTACTGCAAACATGTCTCGCCTCCCACCACAGGGCAGCTTTTCTCCTATCTCAGAGGTGAACAAATGTACAATCGGGTTTTACACCGAGACATTCAGTTCCCAGGGGCAAGCAGGAGACAATGGCCTTCCTTCATCTCAACTGCAAGAGGCTTTCCTCTTTTACTAATCCACCTCAGCACAGACCCCTTACTGGTGTTGGGCTGGTGGACAGTCAGGTCTTTTTCATCCCATGAGGCCATATTTCAGACTATCATATGGGGAGAAACCTTGGACAATATCCCGCTTCCAAGGGCAGAGGTCCCTGCGGCTTTCCACAGTGCATTGTGCCCCTGGTTTATTGAGACTAGAGAATGGCAATGACTTTTACCAAGTATACTGCTTGTAAACATTTTGTTAACAAGGCACATCCTGCACAGCCCTGGATCCCTTAAACCTTGATTTTATACAACACATGTTTTTGTGAACTCCAGGTTGGGTCAAAGTGGCTGGGGCAAAGTGGCTGGGTCAAAGCTACAAATTAACAACATCTCAGCAAAGCAATTGTTTAAAGTACAGGTCTTTTTCAAAATGGAGTCTCTTATGTCTTCCCTTTCTACATAGACACAGTGACAGTCTGATCTCTCTTTCTTTTCCCTACAATCATGAGGATAGTACCAAATGGGATGGTGCTAAGCCATTTATGAGTATTCCACCCCGTTGGTTATATCACCTTTCACCAGGCCCACCTCCAACATTGAGAATTACATTTAAATATGAAATGTGGGAGGGGACACACATTCAAACCCTATCAGGGGAGTCTTTATGTTTTTTTTCAAATAGAAGATTGTATCATTGGCAAAAAAGATAATTTGACTTCTTTTCCAATTGGGATGGTTTTATTGCTTTCTCTTATCTGATTGCTCCAGATAGGACTTTCAGAATTATGTTGAATAACAGTGGTAAAAGTGGATATTCTTGTCATCTTCCAGATTTTAGAGAAAAGGATTTTAGTTTTTCCCCACTTAGTATGATACTAGCTATGGGTCTGCCATATATGACTTTTATTATGTTGAGGTATGTTCATTCCATACCCAGTTTTCAAAGGTTTTTATTATTAAAGAGTATTAAGTTTTATCAAATTTTTAGTATAATTGAAATGATTATATGGATTTTGTCCTTCATTCTGTTTTATTTATTATTTATTTATTTATTTATTTATTTTTTTGAGATGAAGTCTCCTTCTGTCACCCAGGCTGGAGTGCAATGGCATGATCTTGGCTCACTGTAACCTCCATCTCCAGGGTTCAAGTGATTCTCCTGTCTCAGCCTCCCAAGAAGCTGGTATTACATTTGCCCACCATAGCACCTGTCTAATTTTTGTATTTTTAGTAGAGATGGGGTTTCACCATGTTGGCCAGGACGGTTTTGAACTCCTGACCTCAGATGACCCGCCCACCTCAGCTTCCCAAAGCACTGGGATTGCAGGCATGAGCCACTGCACCCAACCCCTTCATTCTGTTTATATGATATATCACATTGATTGATTTGCATGTTGAACCATCCTTGCATCTCTGGGATAAATCCCACTTGGTCATTATGACTTACCTATTTATGTGTTGTTTAATGCAGTTTGCTAGGATTTTTGCAAATTTTTGCATCAATATTCTCAGATATGGGCCCGTAGTTTGCTTTTTTAATGTGCCTTTGTCTGGTTTTGATATCAGTGTATTACTAGCCTCAAAGAATGAGTTTGGAAATTTTCTTTCCTTATCTATTTTTCAGTCTGGTCCTACAGACTTTTTATTATGGGTTTAGTTTTGTTACTTGTTATGGGTCTGTTAGGGTTTTGGATTTTTTCCTAGTTCAATCTTGGTAAGTTGTGTGTGTCAAAGAAGTAATTTCCTCTAGGTTTTCTAATTTGTTGGCATACGATTGCTCATAGTAGCCACTAATGATCCTTTGATTTTTTGAAGCGTTACTTGCATTGTCTCCATTTTCACCTCTGATTTTATTAATTTGTATCTTCTCTGTCTAAATATTTGTCAATTGTTTTACTTTTCAAAAAAATCAACTTTTTGTTTCATTGATCGTTGGCATTGTTGTCTTCATTTTAACTTTATTTCTGCTCTAATCTCTATTATTTCTTTTCTTCTAATTTTGAGTTTGGTTTGGCCTTTTTATTCTAGTTAATTAAGGTGTATTGTTAGGTTATTTATTTGAGGCTTTTCTGTTTTTTATGTAGGCACTTACAGTTATAAATTTTCCTTTCATAATAGTAGCTCTTTTACTATATTCCATAGGTTTTACTATGCTATGTTTTAATTATTATTTGTTTCAAGAAATTTTTCTATTTTCTTTTTAACTTTTTTATTGACATACTGATTATTCAGGAACATATTATTTAATGTCCAAGTGTTTGTATAGTTTCTGAAATTCATTGTTTAATTTGTTTCTAGTTTTATTCCATTGTGTTCAGAGAAAATGCTTGATATTACTTCAATGTTTTTTGAATGTTTTTAGACTTGTTACTTAACATATGGTCTATCCTTGAGAATAACCCATGTGCTGAGGAGAAGAATGTGTATTCTGCAACTGTCAGATGAAATTTGCTGTAAATATATATTAGGTTCATTTGTTCTATAGGGCAGATTAAGTCTGATGTTTCTTTGTTGATTTTCTGTCTGGAAGGTCTATAAAATGACTAAAGTGGGGTGTTGATGTGACCAGCCATTATTGTATTGAGGTCTCTTTCTTTAGCTCTTATAATATTTGCTTCATTTATCTAAGTGCTTTAATGTTGGGTGTGTATATGTTTCCAGTTATTATGTCCTCTTGATGAACTGATCTCTTTATTATTATAGAATGACCTTCTTAATCTCTTCCTACAATCTTTTGTTGAAATCTATTTTTGTCTGCTATAAGTATAGCTATTTCTGCTCTTTTTTGGTTTCTATTGGATAGAATAAC
Source organism: Homo sapiens (assembly GCF_000001405.40). Classification (NCBI taxonomy): domain Eukaryota; kingdom Metazoa; phylum Chordata; class Mammalia; order Primates; family Hominidae; genus Homo; species Homo sapiens. Next base: position 34,183,611 of record NC_000012.12, read on the forward strand.
TTTTTCCAGCCTTTTATTTTCAGTCTAAATGTATCTTTACAGGTAAAGTATATTTTATTTTTTTGGGTCACAAATTGTTGTCTTGCTCCTCTATCCGTTCATCCACTATTTGTCTTTTGATTGGAGTATTTAGTTCATTTACATTCAATGTTATTATTGATAAGCACTTACTCCTGCCATTTTGTTATTTGTTTTCTGATTGATTTTTGTCCTCTTATCCTTCTTTTCTTTCTTCCTGTCTTCCTTTTATTGAAGGTTATTTCTCTTATAATATAATCTAATTTCTTGCTTTTTACTTTATGTACATCTGTGGCATGCTTTTTGATTTGAAATTATCATAAGGCTTGAAAATAATGTAACACATCATTTTAAACTGTGGACAATTTAACACTGATTGCATAAATGAAGAAACAAGAAAAGCAACTGATAAAAACTCTACACTTTAATTTCATTGTCATTCTTTTAAACTTTTTATTGTTTTTCTCATTCCCTGTTTTGCTGTCTATGTCTTGGAAATATGTTGTAGTTTTTTTTATTGATTTATTGTTTACTCTTTCTATTTGAGATTTTTGCACACCATAATTACCATGTTATAATATTCTGTGTTTTTCCGTGTGCTATGACTAGTGAGTTTTGTACCTTCAGATGATTTCTTATTGCTCACTCACTTTTTTTCTTTGAGATTAAGAACTCCCTTTAGCATTTCTTGTAGGACAGGTCTGGTGTTAATGAAATCCCTCAGTTTTTGTTCATCGGGGAAAGTTCTTATTTCTCCATCAAGTTTAAAGGACGTTTTTGCAAGATACATTATTCTAAAGTAAAAGTCTTTTTTTTTCTTCAGTTGTTTAAATATATCATGCCACTCTCTCAGCCTGTAAATTTTCCCCTGAAAAGTCTGCTGTCAAAGGTATTGGAGTTCCACTGAATTTTATTTGTTTCTCTTTTCTCACTGCTTTTAGAATCGTTTCTTTATCCTTAACCTTTGGGAGTTCAGTTAAGTACCTTGAAGTGGTCTTCTCTGGGTTAAATCTGCTTGATGTTCTGTAACTTTCTTGTACTCGAATGTTGATATTGAATGTTGGGGAATTGTTTAATATTATTTAACACTATTTCTTTAAATAAATGTTTAACTCTTACCTCTTTGTCTACCTCCTTTTTAAGGCCAATAACTCTTAGATTTGCTATTTTGAGGCTATTTTTTAAATTTTGTAGGCATGCCTTATATTTTATTCTTTTTTGTCTCCTCTGACTTTGTATTTTCAAATAATCTGACTTCAAGTTTACTAAATCTATCTTCTTCTTGATCAATGCTTTTAAGTAATTCTGATGCATTCTTCACTATGACAATTGCATTTTAACCTCAAAATTTCTGGTTTATTCTTTTTATTTCAATCTCATTGTTAAATTTATCTGATAGAATTTTGAATTTTTTCTCTGTATTATATTGCATTTCTTTGAATTACCTCAACCAGCTATTTTGGATATCCTGTATGAAAGGTCACATATCTCTGTTTTTCCAGGATTTGTCCCTGGTGCCTTATTTAGCTTGTTTGGTGAGGTCATGTTTTCCTGGATGGTCTTGATACTTGTAGATGTTCATCTATATCTGAGCATTGAAGACTTCAGTCTTTATTGTAGTCTTCAGAGTCTGGGCTTGTTTGTGCCCATTATTTTTGGGAACACTTTCCAGATATTCAAAGAGACTTGGGTCCCAACCCAATAACACAGTAGTTTATGCAAACACATAGAGGTACTGACTTGGTGGCCTTGGATTAACATGAAGACAAATTCTCTTGATTTATCAAGTAGAGACTCTTGTTCTCTTCCCTTAATTTCTCTCAAACCAGCAGAGTCTCTCTTCCTGTGCTGAGGCATGTGGAGCTGGAGTTGGGTAACATAAGCACCCCTGTGGCCACTACCACTGAGACTGTGCTGATTCACACCTGAAGTAGGCACAGAACTTGGTCTCACCCAAGGCCCACTGTAACCACTGCTTGGCTACTGTATAAGTTTACTCAAAGCCCTAGGACTCTATGATTAATAGATGGCAAAGCCAGCCAAGTTTGTGTCTCTGCCTATAAGGTGGCAAGTTCCCCTAGCCATGAGTGGGTCCATAGATGCTATCTGGGAGCCAGAGATTAAAGTATAGAATCTTCACAATTTACCTGCTCTTCTATTTTACTGTAGCTAACCTGGCACTTAAGGCATAAGACAAAGCATTTTCTAATCTTCTTTCCCCTGTCTGCAGGCAAAGGAGCCTCTTCTATGACTGCCAACACCACCAGCCCATGGGGGAGTTCTGACAAATCATCAATTTCTCACTTAAAGCCCAAGGACATTTTAGTTATCTTATGATAAATTCTGCAATGCCTGGGACTCGACCTTTGCCCAAGGGCAAGTGCAGAAATGCTAACCGAGACCCTAGGCCTGGACTCAGGGACTCTAAGAATCTGCTTGGTGCTCTATCTTGTGGCTGAGCTGGTATATGAGGTGCAAAACAGAGTTCCTTTTACTTCCCCCCCTGCTTTTCTCAAACAGAAGTCTTTCACCATAGCTACCATAGCTGGAAATGTGCTGGGTCACACCTGAAGTTAGCACTTCTCAGAGCCCAATACCCATGGTATATTACCTGGGTATCACTGTTTTTTTATTCTGGGTATAGGGGTTCTTTAGTCAGCAGCTGATGAATTCTGCCAGGTCTTTACTGACATGGCAGCACTGAGTTTATGTAAAGGTCTCCAGTAACTATGCTCTCCCTCTCCCAAATTCACAGGTTTCTCTGTGTTGTGTGGCTGCTGCTGGGTGGGGGGTGGGGGAGTGGGGTTGTGAGCACTCCCTTAGCTGCTCTGGCTGGTGTCTCAGTAGGCCACATTCTCCCCACCTTCCACATTCGACTGGCTCAGAGCTCAGCTCAGCAGTATGACTTGCCTAATAATTGAAGTCCTTGTGGCCTAGACTGCCCCTTAAGTTCTCTTAGGGTCCAATAGCACTTCAACTCATGATGGCAAGGCTTGTAAAGACTCAAACTCCCAACACTGAGATGGGAGATTTTCCTCTTGCTAGGGCCAATCCAAATGCTCCCTCTATTGGCAGATGTCAGCTGAGTATTATTTGGTTCTGCTTTTTACTGTGACATGGTAGTACTGAGTTTATTGCAAAGCCTCACAAGTTGTGCTCTCCCTCTCCCAAACATACAATCTCTGCACCTTGTGGCCACTACTGGTGGTTGAAAAAGAGGTGGCATCGGTGTTTCTAGACTGTCATTTTTTTATCTTCTCCAATGTCTTTTTCAGTGATATGAAGTTAATACCAGGTACTGTGAGTGCTCACCTAATTTTTGGTCCCTTTGACAGTGCTTCTTGAATGTAGTGAGTTGTGAAAATTTTGTGTTTTTGTATGGGGATGAGTGGTGTAGGCTTCTATTCTGCCTTGTTACTCGGTCTCTGCCTTAAAATTTTAGATTCAAGGAGTACATTTGCAGGTTTTCTACGTGGATATATTGTGTGATGCTGAGCTATGTGGGATATTATTGATCCCATCACCACAGTAGTGAGCATATATTGTGGGATATAATTGATCCCATCACCAAGGTAGTGAGCATAGCACCAATAGTTTCTCACCCTCTGCCCTCCTCCTTCCCTCCTTCATCTAGTAGTTCTCAGTGTCTTCTGTTGATATCTTTATATTCATGAGTACCCCATGTTTAGATCCCACTTATAGGCAAGAGCCCGTGGTATTTGGTTTTCTGTTCCTGTATTAATTTCCTTAGGATAATGGCCTCCAGATGCATCCATGTTGCTGCACAGAACATGATTGTATCCTTTTTAATGTGTGCATAGTATCTTACGGTGTTTATGTGGCACATATTTCTATCCATTTTATTGATTCACACATAAGTTAATTCCATGCCTTCTCTAATGTGAATAGCAATATGATGAATATACAAGGTTTTGTTTTGTAGAATTTGTAATTTCCTTTTGGGTATATACTCAGTAATGGAATTGCTGGTTGAATGGCCCTTCTGTTTTAAATTCTTTGAAAAATCTCCAACCTGCTTTTCACAGTGGCTGAACTAACTTACGTTCTCACCACAGAATATAAGCATTTTATTTTCTCTGAAGTCTAACCAGAACTTGTTATTTTTTTACTTTTTAATAGTAGCCATACTGAATAATGAGATGGTGTCTTACATTGATTTGCATTTCTCTGATAATTAGTGATGTTGAACATTAAGAAAACCATGCCATTAAAACATTGACAAGGGACATAAGCAGACACTTCTCAAAAGAAGACATACAAGTGGGATTCTTATTCTGTCACAATAAGCTGCCTTTCCTTTGAAAAAATACAAAATCAAACCATTTGAAAAGTCACTTTAATTTTAGTGATTGACAGTATGTTTCCCCTTCTCTATCTCCTTTTCTCATTTGTGAATGTTTTTCTGATCATTATGAATCCACTCAGCAGAGTAACCTCCATTCTTAATATGTGTGAATTGTGCTGATGAGCTAGTCAGCTCTCTTAAAATCACCAACAAAAGAGTTTAAATTTCCTAATTAGTAATATATTTTTAGCATGCCACAGGATGCTCTTAGAACAATGACTTCTGGTCCAGGCATTATGGATTATGATGATTTGTTCTCTGGATTTCTATAAGCTTTGAAATTAAGAGGGATAAATCTAAACTAAATTTGACTTCATACTCTTTACACATTTATTGGTTTTGTTAATTATTCCATAGGAAAACAGACAAAAGGCTTTTGTAGAATTCAATTCTGTTTTAACATATTTAGGGTTACTAGAAGGGAATTATATTGATGTAATTGAGAGACTGAATTAACCTCAGTCATCACATGTGATTTTTCTAGAGTTTTTTTTAATGGTACTGACATTCTTTTCAGTATGTTAATGCCTAGCTTGGGTTTCTGGGAGAGACATGAGTAGCTAGTACAACCCATCTAAAACATGATGTTCATTAGTTGGAATAATGGTGTGATATGATAGTCTTCAAGATGATGCCCTCAATTTCTTTCCTCCCTGCATGCACATGCTGCTCTTTACATTGACAGGTAGAGTCTACTCTCCCATTTCTTGAACCTGTGCTGGTCACAATGACTTGCTTTACCAATAGGATGCAGCAGAAGTCATATTCTAGAACCTCCAAGGGTAGGTCATAAGAAGCTTTATAGTATTTGCCTGTGTGTCTTGGGACTAACTACCACATTGTGAGGACTCCAGGTAATATAGAGAGGTCAGATAGGCATCACACACAGTAGCCAATATGCACTGCCAGTCATCTGAGTAACCCATCTAGGCTCTTTAGCTTAGTTGAGTTTTCAGGTGACTTCAGCAGCAGCCAACCAACTTCAACTGCAAGAAAGACTCCAAAAGAGAACTTTTGTAGCGCCCACAAAACCATGAGAAATAATGTTAGTTAAAATTACTAAACAAATAATAACAATAAACAATATTAAACAATAAATAATTCCTTAAGTTTTGGGATGGCTTACTATTCATCAAGAGATAGCTAGAATAAGTACTAAATGTTGCACAATACTAAATAAGTGTAAGTTTAGTTGTGTAATATACTTCTATATTTTAAAGCCATTGACATTTTTGGACAGAGTGTAAAAGTGAGCACTGATTAAATAGCTCCCAAGAGAAATTGCCTGTTGTATCTCAACACCATCATTTACCAATGGGTATTTTGCTATTGGAAAATATATCCTGTAATGTTCATTTTAAAAAATACACTAACAATTTTTTAGAAAGGCATATGCTATTTTGAAAAAAAAATTGAAAGAACCAGAAAAATGTAAATTTTAAGCCTCTAATCATATTTATATGCTATTTAACCAATAAATCCAAAGTCTGATGGCAAATATGTTTATGTTACACTGATATTTGGATAAATAAGTTAAACAAACAGTTTTCTTTTTAAATGATAGGCCTTATAATTGGTACGATGTTGAGATGGCTGCAGTGAATAAGCTTATCATCATAATATTTTCTCTTTAATACTTTTTTAGAACATTAAGTGACAACCAGAGTCTAAAACTGGGTTGCATAGCAGGAATAAAATCAGAGTGACACTTATTTTGCAGCAGCAGTATTGGAATTCTTGCTGTTGGGGTTGGTAGTAGCAAGCTCAATTATAGGTGGATTCTGTTTCATGCTTAGATGGTGTGTTGGAACATTTCCTGTTTAGAACTTTCTATTTTAACACTTCCTGACTAGAGCTGTTTAAAATAGAAACAAACCCCTCAGATTTTGAATTTAGCCAATTTATTGTTATAATTTGTTCATATGTTTCTACTTTTTAGACTGTGGCTTTCATGTAGACAGAAATTGTATCTTATACCTCTTTTTCTTCAGCAGCAGTGTGCCTGGCACCTAGCTGAATTGTCAGGTTTGTTGAATAATTAAAGTAAAATTATACCAGAAGTAAACTATTAAATTTATCAATTTTACTCAGAAAACTTATAACTAAGTAAGATGTATGAATCAATGCACTCACTTATTCAACAAACATTTATTAAGTGACTACAGTAAGCTAGGAATATGGCAGTAAACAAATCTCACCTTTTCTCAAACTTCAGTGGATCCAGGAGTTTCTAGGTTTAATTCTTGCTCAATCAGCAATTCCTTTTCACTGAAGACTTGACAAGGTTTGAGAAGAGTGTGTGAACTCAGCAGATGTTTGTGATGCACCTATTGTGTGCCAGAAACTGTAGTGTCACAGGATCGGCCTGTCTCCTAGGAAAGGTGAACACTAAAAACATTATTTTAAGCAAAAAAAAAAAAAAAAATGCCAAGTATGCCAAGTGTTGGAGAGGGAAGCACTGGGTCCCAACAGTACAATGGGCACTGAGCCTAGCATGGGGTCCAGGCGTCTCTGGCATGGTGCCCTCCTAGGTCATGGTTGTCCCTCCTTGTTGCTCCTGCTGTCTCCTTCAGTTACATCTGCTTCTCTGCATTTCCTCATTTTACAGTGTGTGGGATGCAGTTATCTCTGAACAGGAATAGGCAACTATAACACCTGTTATGCTGTGCTTGATGCTCTGCATTGATGTACACTGGGCCCAGGTTTCCCTGGTGGACTGCTTTGGCTATTCTTGTCATCTAGCTCTGAAGTCTTTGTTCACTGAAGTGTACTTGTCAGATGGGGAAGCCAGAGATCTGGAGTCCTCTGTTGGGGTCACTCTCGCCCTGCTTATCTTCCCTGACATACCTAACAGATGAAGCTCAGGTGAGCAGTGCACGTCAGGCCACACTGTGGACCATGTACAATTCTTCAAGCTCCAGCTTTAACTCTCTTTCTTATTGCTCTCTTAGGACAGTATATTTAGATGGAAGTAAATGAAAATAATGTTATTAGGGGATAAGATTAAAGTCGATCTCATTTGTAAAAAAGGAAGTACATTGCTTGCGAACTGTAATGCTTTATTTTTAGTGAGAAATCACCTTAAAACTTGGAACCTGGATACAAGATAATTACTTCATTCTGCAAATGTTTAGTAGCAAACTATATGGCAGGACTGTACTAGGTACTAGGGATACATGGTTGAATATATAGTATAAGATGCCTTGGAGTTTCATATAATGGCTCATGCAGTATATAGACAGTGTGGTAAAGAGAGACTTCTGAGATGCACAGAGCACAGACTATAAAGGGTCTTTGATTGGTGGATAAATGTGTTTGGACGTTTCGTTCAGGGATGTTGAAGTTTTCGAAGGTCAGTTGTTTCAGGGTTTTGGCATTTTCAGGCCCTGCTGATCATCAATTGGCTCTGTCTGATCTAGCAATCCCACGGCTGGGTATCTACACAAAGGAAAAGAAATCAATGTATCAGAAAGATACCTGTACTCATATGTTTGTTGCAATACTATTCACAGTATCACAGATATAAAACCAACCAAAATGTCTATCAACAGATGATTGGAGAAAGAAAATGTAGAAAATATACACAATGAAATAATATTCAAGCATAAAAAAGAATAAAATCATAACTATTGCAGACACATGGATGGAACTGGACGCCATTATTGTAAGTGAAACAAGCCAGACACAGAGTAAACATGTTTTATCACTCATAAGTGGGTGCTAAAAGATGTGTAGGTATTGATATAGAGAGTGGAATGATAATGGAGACTCAGCAGGGTGAGGGGATGGAAGGGGCGAATAGTGAGAAATTACTTAATAGGTACAATGTGCACTATCCAGGTGATGGATACCCTAAAAGCCCTGACTTCACCACTATGCAATCCACGCTTACAGCAAAATTGGACTTGTAACCTATAAATTTATACACGAAAAGTCTCAGAACTCTCTCTCTTCTCTCATAAGCGTCAGAGCTCAGTGATCCCCTTGGATCTCCTCGGCCTTCTAAGTTTTGACTTTCCTACCTAGGTGATTTTGAGCACAGATAAGGGAGTGTTTCAGGAAGATGCTCTCAGGCACACTGCTTCTGAAGAAACATTAGAGGCTCTTCTAGTGGCCTTTATCTAGTCACTGCTTTAAGCAAGGAATAAAACATCTGTGGCTAAAATTTTAAAAACTGTGTTTCCTACCCACCCTTCAAACCTGACAGAAGAGATTTTAGAATTTTAAGGGAACAGCTTTTTCCTGACCCAAAAGGGCATAGTAGTGCAAAGGCCAATGTCACGGAAGTACCTTTTCCCCACCTGTAACATAACTCTCAACTACTATTCCCACAGCTGCAATCAGTACAATGTTTTGACTGAGGTATTGGAAAAGCCTATGAGCTCATTATCATTTGAACATATGAGTAATGTAAAATTTAGACAGAATTTTATTTGAAAGGATTATTTATGCAATTTTTATTTAACTGATTTATAATGTGGTTATTTTGAACAATAAAAATCAGGTTGTTATGTTGTAAGCTAGAAATATTTACAACACCACATGGTCTTGATTATCTCACATGATGAATTGAAGATTAAAGCAAAATAATTTATCTTAGGGAACTTCGTGACAATTTCTCAACTTTGCCTAATAATGACTTATAACTGTTATGCATATATAGAGAACTCCTGACTAAAGGGAATTTTTTTGACTATAGTGCTATGTTTTTTATTGTAACTTTTTTTTCTTTCTTTCTTTCTTTCTTTATTTATTTTTATTATTATACTTTAAGTTTTAGGGTACATGTGCACATTGTGCAGGTTAGTTACATATGTATACATGTGCCATGCTGGTGCGCTGCACCCACTATCTTGTCATCTAGCATTAGGTATATCTCCCAATGCTATCCCTCCCCCCTCCCCCCACCCCACAACAGTCCCCAGAGTGTGATGTTCCCCTTCCTGTGTCCATGTGATCTCATTGTTCAATTCCCACCTATGAGTGAGAATATTGTAACTTTTTAAGATCTGGAGGAACATATATTTAGTCTCAGTTGGCCAACTAAATGTTATGGAGTCGGCTTCTGTGTTATATGCAGAGTATTGAAGGAACAGTGGAGACAAGCCTGCTGCCCTTGCAGAGTCTGGGGGAGAAAACCTGATGGAGTGCAGCAGGGAACATGCTGGGAGCATCCCGGGATGCCAAAAGTGCACACAGATGGAACAACTGTCTTAGAACGGTGGAGGTTCAAACAAGGAGAGGTGTCAGGAAAAACAAGGAAAGTTTAATCTGCAGGAATAGAAACACACTTAAGAAATCCATGGGGAATGAAAAGAGAATGGCTGAGCAGCAGCAGATTGTCAAGAAGGAAACCAAGAAGAAGCAGCCAAAGAGGTTGATGGAGAATGAGGAGAAAGAAGGTGATACTGAAGCCAAGGAAAGGAAAGTGTTTCAATATTTCTGGAAAAAAAATCACATGCTCTGTCTTAAACTTGCTGTTTTGTGAGTCACATAGCCACGTTCTAGGTTCTGAGAAGTCCAGCACTAAAGATGTTTCTTTCAGTTTGCTTAACCCAGCATTTGCCAGAATAATCTGGGCTCAGTGTGAGTGTGTGCATGTGTGTGTGTGTGTGCCTGTGTGTTTCACTAATATCTCACTGGGGCTAGTGTTCTACACAACATAACTTTTAAAATACTAGTTTTACCCATCCTATGTTGAGCTGCAGCAATACTTACAAAGGTAAACTTTGATCATGTGTCTTAGTTACTAAAGAAAAGAAAACAAACTAATGAATAAAGCCCACCCTGCAGTGGCTCCTCACTACCTGTAGAGTGGAGCCCGCCTGGCTTGGCCTAGGTGCCCTGTGCTGACCTGGCCATGTTGCCATCTGCCTGCTTCTTTGCCTCCCCCTTTCCGCCTGGAGAAGGTAGGGATGCTCTGAGCTTTGGCCAGCATGGAACATGTGTCCTTCTCCTAAAGCGGACCATGTTTTCCTGAGTCCACTTTAATCTTTTTTTAAGGGTATAGATCAAACAATTTATATTTTCTGGCCTCTCCTTGTCTCCCTTTCCAGTCTCCAAACAGAGATCTGACCTTTCCTTAAAGCTTTATGGTCAGGTCTCACTCTGCATGCAGTTTTCCTGCCACTTCTGCAATGTACATACTTTACTGGTACATTAATTATGCTATACCAGCCGAGGTTTTTCATTTATGTATCATTTTGTATCACCTTCTTTTTTTTTCTTAGAGCTTAGTACACTTATTTATTCAGTCTTTCCACGATATAATTGTATGTCATATAATTTTATATTTATTTTCATTGGTATTTATATATCTTTTCTGTAAAAATGGAGACTTTCTAAATAGATCTTCATTAATGTTGAAAGAACAAAGTTTTAAGTCTTGGTCTCAGCCAAAAGGAGTTCCCCACATATCCAGAAGGGAATGAAACACTTGCATTGTTGCATTAGATATTCTTACAGAGAAAGAGAACCATGTGTAATGGAAAATTGCTAACTTTGCCTCAGGGAGACCAGGTTGATTCACTGAGAAAGTTTGAATTGCTTTAGAAAGCATGGTTCTGAGTTTTCTAGGAGAAGGAGAAAAGTTAGAATAGGGCATAAGAAGTAATGCCCACATCAAAGTTAGAAAGATCTCAAATTGACAACCTAGCATCACAACTGAAAGAATTAGAAAAGCAAGAAGAAATCAACCACAAAGCTTGCAGAAGACAAGAAATAACTAAAATCAGAGCTGAACTGAAAGAACTTGAGCCTAAAAAACTGTTCAAAAGATCACTTAAGGTTTTTTGAAAAAAATTAATAAGATAGATAGGCACTAGCTAGACTAATAAAGAAGAAAAGAAAGAAGATTCAAATAAACACAATTAGAAATGATGAAGGGAATGTTACCACTGACCCCACAGAAATAAAAATAATAATCAGGAACTACTATGAACACCTCTACACACACAAACTAGAAACCCTAGAAGAGATGATTAAATTCCTGGACACATACACCCCTCAAGACTGAACCAGGAAGAAATTCAGTATCTTAACAGACCAATAATGAGCTCAAAAAATTGAATCAGTAATAAATAGCCTACCAAACAAAAAAAAAAAAAAAAAAAAGCCCAGGACCTGACAGATTAACAGTCAAATTTTAACAGATGTACAAAGAAGAGCCAGTACCATTCCTACTAAAACTATTTCAAGAAATAGAGGAGGAGGGACTCCTCCCAACTTGTTCTACGAGGCCAGCATCATCCTGATACCAAAGCCTGGCAGTGACACAACAAAAAAAGAAAGCTTCAGGCCAGTATCCTTGATGAACATTCATTCAATAATCCACAACAAAATCCTTGCAAACCAAATCCAGCAGCACATCAAAAGGGTAATTCGCCACAGCGAAGTAGGCTTCTTCCCTGGAATGGAAGATTGGTCCATCATGGACAAATCAATAAAATGTGATTCATAACATAAATAAAACTAAAGACAAGAACCACATGATTGACTCAGTAGATGCAGAAAAGGTTTTCAGTAAAATTCAACAATGCTTCATGTTAAAAACTCTCAATAAATGAGCTATTGAAGGAACATACCTCAAAATAATAAAAGCCATCTATGACAAACTCACAGCCAACATTATACTAAATGGGCAAAATCTGGAAGAATTCTCCTTGAAACCCACACAAGACAAGGATGCCCTCTCTCACCACTCCTACTCAACATAGTATTAGAAGTTCTTACTGGAGCAATCAGATAAGAGAAAGAAATAAAGGGTATTTAAATAGAAAGCGAAGTCCAACTGCCTCTGTTTGGAGACAACATAATTCTCTAGCTAAACCGTACAGTTGTGACCCAAAAGGCTCCTTAAGCTGATAAACAACTTCCACATGGTTTCAGTATACAAAATCAATGTACAAAATTTGCTAGCATCCCTATATACCAAGAAGAGCCAAACTGAGAGACAAATCAGAAAGGCAATTTTATTCACAATTTCCACAAAAAGAATAAAATACCTAGGAATACAGCTAACCAGGGAGGTGAAAGATCTCTACAATAAAAATTACAAAACACTGCTCAAACATGTGAGAGAAGACACAAACAAATGAAAAATCATTTCATGCTAATGGAGAGAAAGAACGAATATCATTTAAATGGCCATACTGCCCAAAGCTATTCCTATTAAACTACCAATGACTTGCTTCACGGAACTAGAAAAAGCTATTTAAAAATTCATATAGCACCAAGAAAAAACCTAACTAGCTAAGGCAATCCTAAGCAAAAGGAACAAAGCTTGAGGCATCACATTGCCCGACTTCAAACCATAGTACAGCACTACAGTAACCAAAACAGCATGGTATTTGTACGGAAAGACACACACACCAATGGAACAGAATAAAGATCCCAGAAATAAGACCACACACCTACAACTATATAATCTTTGACAAATCTGGCAAAAACAAGCAATGGGAAAAAGACTCCCTATTCAATAAATGGTGCTGGGATAACTGGCTAGCCATATGCAGAAGATCGAAGCTGGACTTCTTCCTTACACCGTATACAAAGATCAACTCAAGATGGATTAAAGACTTCAATGTAAAACCCAAAACTATAAAAGCCCTGGAAGACAACCTAGACAATACCATCCTAGACATAGAAACAGGCAAAGATTCCATGATAAAGACACCAAAAACAATTACAACCAATGCAAATATTGACAAGTGGGATCTAATTTAACTTAAAAGCTTCTGCTCAGCAAAAGAAATTATCGATAGAGTGAAGAGACAACCTACAAACTGAGAAAACATATTTACAAACTAGGTATCTGTCAATGGTCTAATATTCAACACAAGGAACTTAAATAAATTCACAAGAGAAAAAACAAAGAGCCCTATTAAAACGTGGCCAAAGAACTGTCTATTCATGTCCTTAGCCTACTTTTTGATGGGATTGTTTGTTTTTTTTTCTTGCTAATTTGTTTGAGCTCGTTGTAGATGCTGGGTATTAGTCCTTTGTCAGATATACAGATTGTGAAGATTTTCTCCCATTCTGTGGATTGTCTGTTTACTCTGCTGACTGCGCAGAGTAAAGAGTGAAAAAGCTTTTGCAGTGAAAAAGCTCTTTAGTTTAATTAAATCCCACCTATTAATCTTTGTTTTTCTTGCATTTGCTTTTGGGTTGTTGGTCATGAAATCCTTGCCTAAGCCAATGTCTAGAAGGGTTTTTTCGATGTCATCTTCTAGAATTTTTATAGTTTCAGGTCTTAGATTTAAGTCCTTGATCCATCTCGTGTTGATTTTTGTATAAGGTGAGAGATGAAGATCCAGTTTCATTCTCCTACATGTGGCTTGCCAATTATCCCAGCACCATTTGTTGAGTAGGGTGTTCTTTCCCCACTTTGTTTTTGTTTGCTTTGTCAAAGATCAGATGGCTGTAAATATTTGGGTTAATTTCTGAGTTCTCTATTATGTGCCATTTGTCTATGTGCCTATTTTTATACCAGAACCATGCTGTTTTGGTGACTATGGTCTTATGATATAGCTTGAAATCAGGTAATGTGATGCCTTCTGATTTGTTCTTTTTGCTTAGTATTGCTTTGGCTATGTGGGCAATGTTTTGGTTCCGTATGAATTTTAGAATTTTTTTTTCTAGTTCTGTGAAGAATGATGGTGGTATTTTGATGGCAATTGCATTGAATTTATAGATTGCTTTTGGCACCATGGTCACAGACAATCTTAGAAGATACACAAATGGCCAAAAAACATATGGAAAAATGCTCAACATCACTAATAATCAGAGAAATGCAAATTACAACCATGATGCGATACCATCTTACTCCCACAAGAATGGTTATAATCAAAAAATAAAAACATAATAGATGTTGGTGTGAATGTGGTGAAAAAGGAACACTTCTACACTGCTGGTGGGAATGTAAACTAATACAATCACTATTGACAACAGTGTGGAGATTCCTTAAAGAACTAAAAGTAGAAGTACCATTTGATCCCGCAATCCCACTACTGGCTATGTACACAGTGGGAAAAAAAAGTCATTATACAAAAAAGATACTTGCACACACATATTTATAGCAGCACAATTTGCAATTGTAAAAATGTAGAACCAATCCAAATGCCCATCAATCAATGAGTGGATAAAGAAACTGTGGTGTATATGTACGATGGAATACTACTCAGCCATAAAAATGAATGAATTAATATTCTCACTTATAAGCGGGGGCTAAGCTATAAGGATGCAAAGACACAATGGACTTCGGGGACTCAGGGGAAAGGGGTGAAGGGGGTGAGGGATACAATGCTACAAATTGGGTTCAGTGTATACTGATGAGGTGATGGATGTACCAAAATTTTACAAATCACCAATAAAGAACTTATTTATGTAACCAAACACCACCTGTGGCCCCAAAACCTATGGAAATAAAAAAAAAAAGTGAGCAAAAGACATGAACACTTTTCAAAAGAATACATACATGTGACCAACCACCATATAATACAAAGCTCAATATGACTGATCATTAGAGGAATGCAAATCAAAGGCACAGTGAGACACCATCTCATACCAGTCAGAATGGCTATTACTAAAAAGTCAAAAAATAACAGATGCTGGCAAGGTTGTGGAGAAAGACAACACATACACTGTTGCTGAGAGTGTACATTGGTCCCACTGTTGTGGAAAGCAGTATGGTAATTCCTCGAAAGGGCTAAAAGCAGAACCATCACTTGACCCAGCAATATCATTGCTGGGTATATACCCAGAGGTATATAAATTATTCTATCATAAAGACACAAGCACATAAATGTTTATTGCAGCACTATTCACAATAGTAAAGACATGGAATCAACCTAAATGCCCATCGATGACAGATGGGATAAAGGTAATGTGGCAAATTTTAGAGGAAAAGTTAAATATTAAATTTGAACGCAATTGAACATGGACACAAACAATGGTCACTAAGTCCCGGAACGAGTTGTGTGAGCCCCTGGAGGCATTCATTCAGCACTGTTTCAGAGAAATAGTTATTGAAAAACGACAATTGCAAAAACAAGTTGACCTTTTTGTGTTCCTTGAGCCCAGTCAAGAAGGGCCCTCATAACTGGGCCTCATGTCAAACAACATGTTACAAAAAGAGCTAGGTTCCCGGATGGCACCGAAGCTTCATGGGACCTCTCCTTGTCTGTGCATGGACTATTGGTCAACTCTGGAGCACAGGCTGTTGCTTCCCGGTCTGGTGATGAATCCTCCATCGTCTGGTGAGTGTAAATATATATGTATGTATATATGTATATGTATATATATTATATATATGTCTTTTCCCTTCTCCCCTTCCCATTACAATTTATTATATCATTTGCTTATTAGATAATTTGCTTATTATATCTGTATTGCCATATAATTCGGATAAAGTCTGTTTACCCTTAAAAGTATTGTGTGTTTCTTTCCTTCTCTCCTCACACATTTCTCTCGCAGAACACACATATGCACCATGGAATACTATGCAGCTACATGTTCTCACTTATAAGTGAGAGCTAAATAATGAGAACTTATGAACACAAAGAAGGAAATAACAGACACTGGGGTCTACTTGAAGGCGGAGGGTGGGAGGAGGGAGAGGAGCAGAAAAGATAACTATGGGGTACTGGGCTTAATACCTGGGTTACAAAATAATCTGTATAACAAGCCCCTGTGATATGAGTTTATCTAAGTAAGAAACCTTCACATGTACCCCTGAACCTAAAATAAAAAAATTTTTAAATACTTTATGAAAGCTATAAGATCTGCTCCTTGTGTGTTTGTATGTCTATATGTGTCACATGTATGTGATAATATTTTGTAAATAAAACTCGTTCTTAAATTGTTACTAAAATAAAAATGGCTTTATAATTATCCGTTAAATATAATTAGATACTTGCTGGATTTAGCTGTGAGCTTATGTCTTTTGTTGAGAATTTCTGGATTCAGGGGGTCTTGATAAGTGTCCATGATGAAGTCTGGAGACATGTTCTCAGTGTCTAGACCAGCAGCTACAAGCCAGAATCAAGCCCAATTGGCACCTTCTTTCTTTGCTTTTCCTATTTTGCCTCCTTGCTGTTTTAGGAGGGGTTGGATCCTACAGGTATAGACTTCACAGCTCTGTCTTTAGTCCTAATGGACTCAGGCAGGCCCTGATCTTCATAGTTTGCCTGGGTGCCATGTGGCTACTTGGGATCTAGAATTACTGAGGGAAGACATTAGGGATGCTACCTGTGTCATAGTTTCAAAATTCTGTTCAGTAATTTAAAACCTTAAAGTCATGTTAAATTAAGTAACAGGTAATTATAAAATGTCTTGAGTCATTTGTAAGCTAAAATAATGAAATATTCACCATAAAAAATTAGGTCTATATACCATGACATGTTACTTGTATATGGTATAGAAAACCTAAATATCTTTAGTTCTGTTAATAAAAAATAATTTGAAGAATTATATTTCTTAAAAATTATAAAATGGTTTTTTATCTAAAAACACAAATATAAGACAGTTGAAAATTACTCTTTAGGGTTTTCACTGAAATTGGGGTTACTAAGACTTAATTAATTAACAATTCTGCATACAGGGTGTATAAAAAGCAAGATATGCTTTTCTTCTTTTTTTCTTTCTTTTTTTTTTTTTTTTTTTTTTTTTTTTTTTTTTGAGATGGAGTCTCGCTCTGTCGCCCAGGCTGGAGTGCAGTGGTGCAATCTCGGCTCACGGCAAGCTGCGCCTCCTGGGTTCATGCCATTCTCCTGCCTCAGCCTCCCGAGTAGCTGGGACTACAGGCGCCCACCACCATGCCCGGCTAATTTTTTGTATTTTTAGTAGAGATAGGGTTTCACCGTGTTAGCCAGGATGGTCTTGATCTACTGACCTTGTGATCCTCCCACCTCGGCCTCCCAAAGTGCTGGGATTACAGGCGTGAGCCACCGCACCCGGCCTTTTTTTTTTTTTGACTGAGTCTTGTTCTGTTGCCCAGGCTGGCATGCAGTAGCATGATCTCAGCTCACTGCAACCTCCGCCTCCCAGGTTCAAGTGATTCACCTGCCTTAGCCCCCCAAGTAGCTGGGATAACAGGTGCTCACCACCACACCGGGCGTATTTTTGTATTTTTAGTAGAGACAGGGTTTCACCATGTTGGCGAGGCTTGTCTCGAACCCCTGACCTCAAGTGATGCACCTGCCTTGGCCTTCCAAAGTGCTGGGATTACTGGCTTGTGAAGATATGCTTTTAATGAGAAAACTTATAAAGGTATAAAAATGTGTTTTGCTGGGTGCAGTGGCTCACGCCTGTAATCCCAGCACTTTAGGAGGCCGAGGCGGGTGGATCACCAGGTCAGGAGATGGAGACCATCCTGGCTAACACGGTGAAACCCCGTCTCTACTAAAAATACAAAAAAATTAGCCAGGCTTAGTGGCGGGCTCCTGTAGTCCCAGCTACTGGGGAGGCTGAGACAGGAGAATGGCGTCAACCCAGGAGGCGGAGCTTGCAGTGAGCCGAGATCACCCCATTGCACTCCAGCGTGGGCAACAGAGCCAGACTCCGTCTCAAAAAAAATTGTTTTAATTTTTTTTGTTTGAAGTTACTTAAAGGTTTCAAATTGAAGAAGTAAAAAATAGATAAAACTAGATAAATATAGAAAGTTGGGGGAAAATGCAAGGCATAGATTCACAAAAATCTGGGATGAAAAGATGACACATTTGATACATTTATTTATGAAGTTTTATTAAATTAACTTCAGAGGCCAGTCGCAGTGGCTCACGCCTGTAAATAAAATTTTCTTGTCAATTGTGTCTAACTATGACAATTTAAAGTCATGTCCAGTGTAAATTGCTTAATTCTGAGTTAATTTCTAAAAATTTACAAGCTTGCAAAATCCTAGAATATTGTATCTTTAAGGAGTTTCATGAAAGGATGGAAAATGTCCTGAGAAGCACTCTTGAATACAGATTTTTGAGAACTTTAGAATCATTATCATTCGAACTAGGTAAGAATTCCCAGAACTTTAATGCAGAGACTGACTGTTTTATAAAACTGCTAACCCAAGCAGAATAAAAATCAATTGAATACCAAGAAAATACTTTGCCAGATTTTCCTGCCAAGTCAGCCAGCACTAAAATTGTCTAAAGTATTTGAATGAACTCCATAGTCCAAGTCAAATTATCTATGATAATCCCTGATTAGTCAGTGCTATGCACCTAAGTTGAAGAAACAGTCCAATGTTAAGCATGGAGAACCAGAATATCTTCCTGGTCCTTCCTGAGTTCTGAAAGCTTTTCTTATTAAAAGTTCTGCATTCTGATTCTTGGGTGTGAGGGTAAAGCAAGGTGGCAGAAAGAAGGCGCCAACAATCATCCATCCTGCAAGGGCACCAGATGAACAACTATTAATATCTACATAGAAAATACATTCATAAGAACCAAAAATCAGGTGAGTACTCAAAGTACCTGGTTTTAACTTCATATCACTGAAAGAGGCACTGAAGAGAGAGAAAAAAACAGTGCTGAATCACTGGTGCCAGAATTTCCTCACCCCTGGCAGTGATGGCGTGGTGTAGAGATCAACTCTGGGTTCTGCAGGAGGGAGAACACAGCAATTGTGAGGCAAAGAACCCAGTGCTGTCCTGTTAGAGCAGAAAGGAAAACCAGACCAAAAGCTGTTAATGCCCATCCACAGAGAGATCATTTAAAGCAGCACTAGCCAGAGGGGAATCAGACTCCAGTGGTTGGAACTTGAGTGTTTGGAAACCTGGCAACTGAGGGTTCCAGCACTCTTTGTATCTAAGAAACCTTGAAAGACAGCCTAGGCCATCAGGACTGCAACTCTCAGGTGAGGCCTAGGGCTGAACTAGGCCCAGGAACAGTGGGCTGGGGTGGAGAGGGCATGCAACATACTGAGACACCAGCTGGGGCAGCCAAAGGAGTTCTGGCATTATCACTCCCCTAATACCAGGCTGCACATCTCATGGCTCCAAAAGGGACCCCATCCTTCTGCTTGAGGAGAGGAAGGAAAAGAGTAGAGAGGACTGGATACCAGCTCAGCCACAGCAAGATAGCACACTAGTCAGAGTTCTGAGGCCTCCTTTCCAGGCTCTGGCTCCTGTCTAGACATTCCTAGACATACCCTGGCCAAAAAGAAACCTGCTGCCTTGAAGGAAAGAACCCAGTGCTGGCAGCATTTACCACCTGCAAACTTAACAACCTTTGGGCCCTGAATAACCAGGAGCCATAGCCAGATACTACATCAAGGGCTTTGGGTGAGCCTCATAGTCTTGCTAGATTTAGGTGAGACTCAGCACATTACAAGCTGTGATGGCTAAAGGGCAAAACTCCTTTTGCTTGGGAAAAGCAGAGGGAAAAAGTAAAGGGGACTTTGTCTTGCCACTTAGGTACCAGCAAGGCCAGAGGTGGGTAGAACACCAAGCAAGCTTTTGGAATCCCTGATTCTAGGACTTGATTCTTGGTTGGCATGTATGGACCTGCCCAGGGCCAGTGAGGAGCCCATTGCCCTGAAAACTGCAAGTCCCAGGCCAGGCAGCATTCATCACAAGCTGACAAGAGGCTTTGGGCCTTAAGGGAACATTGGTGGTAGCCTGGCAGTACTCCTTGTGTCCTGGAGTCCTGGTGGCTACTGTGCCTTTGGAAAAGGAAAGAAGGAATAGGAAGGACTGTGTCTTGTGATTTCAATGCCAACTCAGCTGCAATGCAATAGAATGTCTGGTTTACTTCTAAAATGTTTGACTCTACTCCCTGACTTCTGAATGGCACTTCTGGACCCAGCCAGGGACTGAGAGAACTCACTGCCCTGAAGGAAAGAACATAGACATGGCTGGCTAATTGTAGAGACCAAAGGCCTTGAGTGGTTAGTACTTGAATGGGAGGATCTCTGGGAATGCCGGGTGCTGTAGGCTTTTGCCTTCCCCCTCCCTCCCTCTTTCCCCCTTTTGTCGTGCTTCACAACCTTCCCCTGACTCTGCTCCCACTTTTCCCCTCGCCTGCGGCCCCACAGCAGCCTGGGACCTCCTCGTGGGGGTGCACCACTGCAGCACCGCCAGGCAACAGCATCCCACCTCTTCCGCCTTGCTGCAGCCCCACCAGGAGCCTGGCTCCAGCTGGGGCGGGGTGGTATATGTTCCCTGAGGTGCCTGGTGTCTTCACGCTCCCGGGATGCCCAGGCAATTCAGTTTACTCATCCGGCGCCACACAACAGTTCAAGCCCAGGACAAGTGGCGGCCAGGGGCAGAGGGTCCCACAAATGCCAGCCAAAACCTCTGCTCCAGGACCTATGGGCTTCTTTCCCCAGGGGAAGGACATTGCCATTGCCAGTCACGAGGAAATCCGTCCCTGTGCACCCGGATTCCCATTGCCACCGACTTCGAGTAAACTCCAGTCCCGAGGACACGAGAGACACCCAGGCCTCAGGCCCCATGGGCACGCTCCACGCCACGGCTCCTACCAGAGGGACAGATACACTCTACAAATCTCGGGGCCCACCACACCAAGAAGACACGGAGGAGCCAACAAAAGAAGGACCATACGAAATGCACCCCCAAAGCAACCAACCAATCCAAGAAAAAATACGTCTCAGGGTTCTGTTGGCCCTCTTGCATGGGCTGCCCTGCCCCCCTGTTCTGGCCTGGCTCAAGCACCTTACCCCAGCCTGCTCGAAAGAGCCCTGTCTACCAGAGCAGAGCACTGGCCTTTCTCAGGCTCTATTGCTCTGGCTCTCTAGCTCTCTCACCCCTGTATTTCTCTTCTTCCCCCTCCATCTCGTGCTCTTTCTGTCTCTGTCTCTGTCTCTCTCTCTATTGCTGTTTGTCTCTCTCCATCCCTCTTTCCCTTGCTCTCCTTCAAGCTGTCTGTATCTTTGTGTGTGTGGTGTCTGTGTGCCCGCACGCGTGCACCCATGTGTGTCTGTGGGGGTGGGGTGGTTTTGCACGTGGTAGTGGTGGGGTGTGTCTGGCTGACAGTCAGCCTCTCTCTCCTGGGATTAGGCTGCCGGTTCTAGTGGCAGGGCGGGGCAAAGCAACACCCCCCTGCCCCCCGCCCCACTCACTTGGCCACGGGCCATGTCCTTGTCGGGACAAGCTACCCTTTAGGGACATTGTGAGAGAAAAGGCCCGCAGGCGTAGGCCGGCTGTTCCCCCCTGGGCAGCCCTGGCAGCTCTGGGTGGGTGGGGCAAGAGGGGGCCTTGCAGGAGGGGCAGCTAGGAACCAAAACAATCCCTCCAAGGCCAGGAGGAGGACAGGAGGGGATCCCAGGACCATGGGCCCAGGACCCTCACGCCTGGGAGCACAACCCGTCCTGAGTGGGTCCGATGTGGTGGAGGCTTGGGAGCTCAGGAGACTGGGGAAGGACTGGAGCGTCGGAGGAAAGGGGGCCTCCCGGAAAGCTCAAAGTCTGAGCAGGGGATGGAAAACTCTGGCGTCCCCACTCAACAGCAGGGCGGTGCTGCGGCGATCCAGTGCACGCCCTTGCCGCCGGCGATGGCGGGAGGCTCTTGGAGGCCGGAAAGCGCAGCGCAGCGGCCCACAGTGCTCCGGCGTGGAGGGGGAGAGCAGCCCGGCAGGGGGCGAGTGGCTGAGGGGTCCCTGATCCGAGCCCCGCGGCCTCCGAGTGGGGATGAAGCCTGGAGTCAGGCAGGCGTGGCTGGGCCAGGCTCTTGTGTCATCCAGGCATCACTGCCGGTGTCTATGGCCATACCACCCTGAAGGCGCCTGATCTTCTCTGGTCTGTGAAACTAAGCAGGGTGGGGCCTGGTTAGTACTTGGAAGGGAGACTGACTGGGAATACCGGGTGCTGTAGGCTTTTGGCTTCCCGCTCCCTACCTCTTTCCCTTTTTTGTCGCCCTGCTTCCCAACCACCCCCTGACTCTGCTACCCCTTTTCCACCTGCCTGCGCCCCCACCACAGCTGGAGACTTCCTCCTGGGGCTCCGCCACTGCAGCACCGCCAGGCAGCAGCATCCTACCTCTTCTACCTCACTGCAGCTCCACCAGATCCCCCACTCTAGCCAGAGCAGGGCGGGCCAGGACCAGACCCAGAAGGCGCAGGCCCAGGTTCCCTGCCATCCTGGTTGCCTTCCTGCTCCACGAACGCCCAGGCAATTCAATTCACTCATCTGGTGCCACCACAAACATCCAAGCCTGGGGAAGGGGCGGGCAGGGGCAGAGGGTCCCACAGACACCAGCCAAGACCTCCTCCAGAATGCATGGGCTGCATTTTCCAGGGAAGGACATTGCCTTCACCAGCTGTGAGGAAAACGTCCCTGTGCACCCGGATTCCCATTGCCATGGACTTCATGTAAACTCCAATCCCGAGGACATGAGAGAGACCCAGGCCTCAGGCACCATTGGCACGCTTGGCGCCATGGCTCCCGCCAGAAGGACTGGTGCATTCTACAACTCTCGGGGCCCACTGCACCAAGAGGACAGAGAGGAGCCAACAAACGAGGACCCTACGAAAACACCCCCAAAGCAACCAACAAATCCAAGAAAAAACATGTCTCAGGGCTCCGTTGATCCTCCCACATGGGCGGCCTTGAACCCCTGTTCTGGCCCGGCCCAAGAAAACTCCACACTACCTTGGTCTGCCCAAAGGGGCCCTGTCTACCAGAGCAGAGCGCTCCCACTCAAAGGCTCTCTCGCTCTCTAGCTCCCTGACCAGCTCTCTCTTATTCTCCTTCCACCTTGTGCTCTTTCTGTTGCCTTCTCTCTCTCTCCCCTCCCTGCTCTCTATTGCTGTTTCTTTCTCTCCCTACGTTTCTATGTCTCCATCCCTCTCTCCTTTGCTCTCCTTCAAGATGTCTGTGTCTTTGTGTGTCTCTCTCTGTGTGTGTGTGTGTGCCTGCACCCGTCGGCCCATGTGTGTCTGTGTGTAGGGGGTGGGTTTGCTCGTGGTGATGGTGGGATGTGTCTGGATGTCCATCAGTCTATTTTTCCTGGGGTCAGGCTGCCCACTCTATTGCCAGAGAGTGGGTGTTGCAGTTGCCATGATAGCCTCCACATGCAGTTGTGTGGATCTCGTTAATTTTCATGTAGAAAATGAGAGCGAAGCCACACAGAAAACAAACTACCGTGCATCATGGCCTGACAATGGATTCTTTCCTGCAACATGGGGAGCCTCCAATCAGTATGGCCTGTTTGGAGACTGGAAAACACTGCATCTAGACGACACTGGTTTTCCATGCTTCCCTGGAAGTGTCTAAATCCCCACAGAGCTCAGGAAACAAAGAGTCAGCATGATGACGATTTCAGAGGCCAGAGAGAAGTGAGCAACAGACACATTTGCAGAGGGCAAAGAAATGTGTAATCCAAAAATCACACTTCAGTCTCCCTGTGACTCTGTGTGCATGGGGGCATCCACGTCCCACTCTGTTGCATGGCTCAATGTGGGGATATGTCATCTGTGAACCATGGGGTTGAATAACGGACTACCACCCGAGTCTCAGCTCATTGCTCTTTGGGTAAGTAGCTCATTCCTTGGAAGACGGAATTCCTCTGAATTGCTCCAGGATGAAGAAACCCAGGCTGGCTATCTGGAGGGCCTCACTGGCGGACGTGGCTGTGGTCCCAGCCATCAGCCCACAGTGGGCGCCAAACATATTCGCAAAGTGTGGGATCCTGTTGGTCCTGGAGGCAGAAGAACGCTTTTCTCTCTGCCTTCCTTTCTCTGTTTCTTGGTCCTTTTCTCCCTTTGTCCCTCCTTCCCTCTATCCATCCCTCCCTCCCTCTGTTCTTCCCACCCTCCCTCCAAGTTGCTCTGGTTCATCCGTTTTTTCCTCCGTCCATCCGTTCTATCTTCCTTCCGTCCATCCGTTCCATCTTCCCTCGGTCTCTCCCTCCCTCTCTGTCTCCCTTCCTTTCCCCATTCATGCCTGCCAACACTCCTGCCTGGAAAGAACAGCAACCTGGTTTGTGAAAGATCTCAGGGTCTACATTTAGTTGGAGTTGCCCAATGGTGAAGTCTAGGAGGCTGGTGGGGCAACGGTGGACGAAAGACGGTGGAGCCGGGAGGCAGAGGAGGCAAGACGCAGAAAAGAGAGCAGGTCTCGCCGCAGCCACGGCTGGTGTTTCATGGGTAGAAGGTCTCCACCCACACCACTAAAGAACGCCTGGACAAATAGGAATGTGACCTCTGCCTGGTCTAGTCCCAAAGCCTGGCCTGCGGACCCTCACATATGAAGGAGACCGCCCACCACCTGGTACCTGGGAGGACTCTGAAATCCTTGGAATACTCAGGAAAGAATGACACCCCTCATCTGTATGTAGTCTCTCGAGGAACCAAGAACTCAGGGATCCTAGACAAGCCAGCCTGAAAAGAAGACACGCCTCTCCATACCAAGCCAGATATTCACTGCGAAAGTGAGGACACCAACCTGACCCCAATCCACCCAAACCCCGGGTCATAAATGCCTCCAGCAGAGCCCGGCATACTTTCTCCATAAAAAGTGGCTCCAGCGACACGGGCTTTTCCAAGTCCTTCAACTCCCGCAGCGGCTCCGTTTCTAGCAAAGGTTGTGCCTTTTGTTGAAACTCTGGGGTCGACAGAAGCTCATCTAACAGGCTAGAGGTGACTGCAGACAAGCACTCCGGCTCCTGGAGCGGTTGGGAGGGCGCCTGGATGGCTTGCATCTGCTTCTGTGACGCGGAGGCTTCCGGAGGCGTGGGCTCTGGAGGTGGAGGTGCCCCAGCTTCAGGTTCCCACGTGGCCCTGGCGACATGGGGCCCCTGGCCCCAGCTCCACCACGGACTCGGGTAGGATGTGTGTGGCGCAAGCACACCTCACCCTTTGGACTCAGCTTGAGCAGGTTTAAGCTGTCCCACTGAGCAAGCACCCAGCAGGCCGCCGTTCTGTGGGTCCTGGTCCTCCTGGCATTTGTTGGGGTGCGAAGGCCACCGAGGAACCTGAGGGTTGGAGGGCGCCGCTTCTGGATGAGCCAGGGCAGCGTAGGCAAAATCCCAGAGTGCCAGGACCAGTTGGGAGATTCCTTCTGCCTGCGCAGCCTGGCTGGGCTGGAGCAGGGCAATGGTCCTTGCTGCCTGGCTCACGAGAGCACCCTGTGGGGGAGCCCCAGGAGCCCAGGACATGCGGGGTGCGGGAAGTGCTGTTGTCCAAGCCCCGGTGGGGGTGAAGGCGACCGACGAGGAAGGAGGGTGACACCCGCCTGGGGCCACGTTGCACAGGCCGCCAGTGTGCGTGGGTGCCCTGCCACCCTGGCCTGGATGCCTGGCCCTGATGCTAAAACCAAATCTGATTCCTGGACTCTGGGAGGCCTGTCTCTCTGGCCAGTTCTTCCTGGGTGGTGATGCCTGGAAAGCAATCTTTCTCAAAGTCTCGGAGGAGCAGGGTGGTCTGGGATCGGGTGACTGCGATCTGCTTTCACCTGCCTTCTTGCGGGCTGCGTTTCCTAGGCCAGGGCCAAGATTCCTGTCGGTGCTGCCTCAGCTGGTGTGATCTCTCATTCTGAAACCAAATCTGGCCCCTGGGCTCCGGAATGCCAATGGCTTGGGCCAGCTGTTCTCTGGTGGCGATGCCTGGGTACAGGTTCCACTAAAAGCACGCTCACAGGGCCTCCCTTTCACTCGGGGTCCAAACGAGTCTCCTTCGCCGTCCTCGTCCTCGGGCTTCCGCAGGGAGACAACTGTCGGAAGGTTTTGGGAGAGACATCGTGGTGAGACCTGGCCAGAATTTCCTGGACAGACACCAGCAGAGAGAGGCCGGCAGGCTCCCGTGCACCTCAGTCGGCCTCTGCACTGCATGCAGGTCCAGCCAAGAGGCCAGCCCTGCCAGCGGCTCTTATAAAGACTCACAGGCTGTTGCTCCCTCTCTCACAATGTGACACACTGGCTCCTCTTTGCCTTCTGTCATGAGTGGAAGCAGCCTGAGGCTTCTGTCCACAGCAGATGCTGGCACCATGCTTCTTGTACAGCCTGTAGAACTGTGAGTCAAATAAACCTCTTTTCTTTATAAGTTTAAAAAAAAAAAGACCCACAGGTTCCACCCCTTCATGAATGCGAGTGAGCTCCAGGGTAGCAGGAGCTTCGGGGTAGCAGCCCTTCCGAAGCTGGAAACCACAGGGACCAGGGCACTGTGGTGTGGGTGGGTGTGGGGCCAGAGCCGAGAAAGAAGTGGGACTTCGGGGGCTGGCTCTCTGGGGTTCTCCAGGAATTCTATGGAAACTGGAAGCCGCTCTCTGGGCTTGCATGTGTCTTCAGGGAGAAACATCCCTGGAAGGGTGGAGTGTGGAACAGAACCTCCACGACAGTCTTGAGTTTTTCAGGTCCTCTCTCTGTGAAGGGGGCAATGCCTGTGGGTGTCGCCGTTGCTGTGATACCCTCACAGATGCAGGTATGTGGATCTTGTTCATTTTCATGTAGAAAACGAGAGCGAAACCACAGAGAAAAGAAACGTCCCCAGCATGACGGCCCCACGAAGGATTCCTGTTTCCTGCAACATGGGGAGTCTCCAATATGGCCGTTTTGGAAACTGGAAAGCAGAGCACCAACACGATGCTGGTCTTCCACGCTTCTCTGGAAGTTTTTGTGTCCTCGCAGAGCTCGGGAAGCAAACAGACAACATGATCACGCTTTCGGGGGCCGGAGAAAGGTGAGCAACCGTCCCCCTTGCAGAGGGCAAAGAAACGTGGAATCCGAAATCACGCTTCAGTCGTCCTGAGTGACTCCTGTGTGGATGGGACTATCCTCCTCGTGCTCCGTTGCAGTACTCAGTGTGGGGATGTGTAGTCTGTAAAACATGTGGGTGAAAAACGGGCTGCTACCTGAGTCTTGGCTCTTTGGTCTTGGAAGAAATCGCCCATTCCTTGGGCGATGGAATTCATACGAATCGCTCCGCGATGAAGTAACCCAGTCTGGCGATCCGGAGAGCCAGTGAGTGCCCCGCCGGCCCAGCCCTTAACTCCCACTGGGCGCTTAACATTTTCCAGGAGCCCGGGGGTCCTGTTGCTCCTGGAGGCAGAAGACTGCTTTTTCTCTCTGCTTTCCTCCCTCTGTCCCTTGCTCCCTCCCTCTCTCTCAGTGTTCCTCCGTCTCCCTGTCTGTCCCTCACTTCCTGTCTCTGTCCCTCCCTACCACCCTAACAACGTCTATCACTCCGTCCCTGCGTGTCTCCATTCCTCTCTCCATCTCTGCCTGTCCTCCCCCGTGGGCGAGACATGCACCCTGGGTGCAAGCCAGGGACTCCACGACCCACCTGGGTCCGGGGCAGAGGCTGCTGGGAAGGCACTGTTCTCCGTGGGAATTTTTTCCCCTGATTGCCTCAACGTCCCCTTTGGAGTCTGGCGTCCTGTTCCCTTCCACTGGGGGACTTCTTGCCGCTTTGGGGTGTCCCCCATGGGCTAGACATGCACCCTGGGTGCAAGCCAGGGACTCCACGACACCCCCGGGCCCAGCGCAGGGGCTGCTGGAAGGCACTGTCCTCCATGGAAGGACCCCAGCCTCGCTGCTTTTATCCGGTGCTGCTCACCCCCCCAGTCTCGGCGCAGAGGCTGCCGGGAAGGCACTGTGGTCCGTGGGAGTACCCCGGCCCACCGCTTTTTCCCCTTGCAGCCTCAACGTCCCCTTTCAAGCCTGGCGTCATGTTTCCTTCCCCCGGAGGCCTTCTTGACGCTTTGGGGTGCCCCCCGTGGGCGTGACACGCACCCTGGGAGGAAGCCAGGGACTGCACGACACTCCCAGGCCCAGCGCAGGCGCTGCCGGGAAGGCACTGTCGTCCGTGGGAGGACTCCGGCCGGCCGCGTTTTGCCCCATGCCGCCTCAAGGTCTTCTTTCAAACCTGGCATCCTGTTCCCTTCTCACAAAGGCCTTCTTGCCGCTTTGGGGTGCCCCGCGTGGGCGCGACACGCACCCTGGGAGGAAGCCAGCGACTCCACGACCCTCTTGGGCCCGGCGGAGATGCTGCCGGGAAGGCACTGTCGTCTGTGGGAGGACTCCGGCCGGCCACGTTTTTCCCCGAGATCTCACCACTGCACTCCAGCCTGGGCAACAGAGGAAGACTGTCTCAAAAAAAAAAAAAAAAAAAAAAAAAAAAAAAAAAAAGTCAATCGCTTCCATCTTTAGATGTCTTTTACACTTTAGAAGGTATATAAGCTCTATAAACCTTTGTAATTTTGAGTCAGTCTGGCGACATTTTTAGGCCTTCTCTCTGTAAGTGATCACAGAAATAAAAACTGCCTCCTTTTTTAGTTCATCTGCATCTCGTTATCAGGCCGCGAGAATAAGCAGCCCGACCTTCAGTTTGGTCCGGGAACAATTACACTCCAGCCCGGGTGACAGAGGGAGACCTTGTCTCAGAAAAGAAACAAGAAAACAATAAAAAAGAAGGAAGATAATTAACCCGGTATTGTGCTGTGTTGTGGTTCACCCCCGTGCCTGTATGCCCAGCTACTCGGGAGGCTGAGGCAGAGGAAGATCGCTTTAAGCCCAGCAATTCAAGGTCGCAGTGAGCTATGATCCTATCACTCCACTCCAGCCTGGGTGACACAGGGAGAACCCCTCTCTAAAAAATACATGAATGAATGAATAAATGAATGTAAAAAAAATGTAAGAAGGTGGTGGAGCCTGGGAAGGCTCCACTCGTTCCTAAAGACTAGAGCAGAAAAACAGGACCATCCGTTTGAGATACAGGCTATTCCGAATAACAGTGAAGGCCCTGAGGATTTCAGAGCAAGGCCCTGCCATTATCTGCAGATAACCATTCTTCTTTGGAGCAATAGGCTCTCTCAGCTAGCCTCTGACTGTTAGTAGAAACCAAATGCCCAACTGTGGGGCCACGAAGTTACCGTGTGAGCTGAGCCGCTCATCACACACTGGATGTTAAGTGGGTGTGCACAGCAACACTCTAGCATGTCATGGAAGTGCTGTGGACCTGATTGGGTCCTAACAGATCGTGAAGCACAAGTAAGTTCCATGAGAAAGTGGCCCAAATGCCCATGGTCCCCAGTCAAGAAATGAGGTGAGTTAAGAAATTACATATAGCTGGGCGCAGTGGCTCATGCCTGTAATCTCAGCACTTTGGGAGGCTGAGACGGGTGGATCACTTGAGGTCAGGAGTTGGAGACCAGCCTGGCAACCATGGCGAAACCCTGTCTCTACTAAAAATACAAAAATTAGCCAGGTGCGGTGGCGTGTGCCAATAGTCTCAGCTATTCAGGAGGCTAAGGCAGGAAAATCGCTTGAACCTGGGAAGTGGAGGTTGCAGTGAGCTGTAAGCGCGCCACTGTGCTCCAGCCTGGTTGACACAGTGACAGTCTGTCTCAAAACATACAAAAATTAAATTAAAATTTAAAAAGTACACATAGATATGACACATAGCCAGGCACAGTGGCTCACGCCTGTAATCTCAGCACCTTGGGAGGCTGAGATGGGTGGATCACTTCGTAGCATCATTACTGCCTCAAAAGGACAGAGGCGTATGTTTATGTCACTGTGGGTTTTTTGATTCTCTTTTTCCTGGAAACTCATTTATTTGTATTATTATTATTTATTTATTTTTTTTTGGATACGGAGTTTTGCTCTTGTTGCCCAGGCTGGAGTGCAATGGTGCAATCTTGGCTCACCGCAACCTCTGTCTCCTGAGTTCGAATAATTCTCCTTCCTTGGTCTCCCGAGTAGCTGGGATTACAGGCAAGTGCCACCACACCCAGCTAACTTGGTATTTTTAGTAGAGACAGGGTTTCTCCATGTTGGTCAGGCTGGTCTCAAACTCCCAACCTCAGGTGATTCACCTGCATTGGCCTCCGTAAGTGCTAGGATTACAGGCTTACAGCCATGAGCCACGGCACCTGGCCTTTTTTTTTTTTTTTTTTTGAGACGGAGTCTCACTCTGTTGTCCAGGCTGGAGTGCAATGTCGCGATCTCAGCTCACTGCAACTTTCACCTCCCGGGTTCAAGCAATTCTCCTGCCTCAGCCTCCCGAGTAGCTGGACTTACAGGTGCATACCACCATGCCTGGCTAATTTTTTGTATTTTTATTAGAGATGAGTTTTCACCATACTGGCCAGGCTGGACTTGAACTCCTGACCTCATGATCCGCCCGCCTCTGCCTCCCAAAGTGCTGGGATTACAGGTGTAAACCATCGTGTCCGGCATATTTATTTTTTGTTTAAGTGATCAAAGAACAACCAGACCCAGTCATCAGGGTGGCAATTCCTCAGGCAACAAGGGAGGGAGGAACTTGGAGGTGTGGGCGGGTGGTGGGCGTGGTGGAGAAGACACAGTTGCCCTGGGCTGTGCGCAGGCACCATGAGCTTCCTTCCCCTTGAGGCCTCAGTTTTCAGAGTAACAGTTGCTGCTAGGTGATGCCCGATGTCTGCCAATGAGAGTGTCATCCCGGAATTAATTGGGATCACCTGGAGGGGGAGTGGGAAGGGGAAGGATAGTGGCCCCCAAATCACAGTGGGTGGCTGCACCCTCCCAGGTGGTCCCCACAACTAATTGACCATGGTCCCTGGAAGACACAGCCTAAGTCCTCACCCATCGGATCATCTGGAAATTCCATCCAGAGACCGACTGGAAATTCTCTCAGTCAAGCTCCAAACCTAAAAGAATCACTGGCACACCCACCAGGACTAAGATAACTTTTTAAAAAATCGTTTCTGTGTTTTGAGTGCATCTGTTTATTTCTGTACAACAAAATTATTTATTTTAAACGTTACGACTTTTTTACTTCTTACATATACAGTCCCGTGATAGACAGACCAGGGGACTCGTCAGCTCAGAGTCCATGAGGCCAGAAGTTGACACCTTCAATTTCTATTCAGAATGAATTTAAACAAGCCAGCCAAACACTCTGCCGTGAAACTCCTGGAAAGACAAGCGATTAAAAAATGAAGAAAAAAACAACACTGTCAGGAGCAGTGGCTCATGCCTGTCATCCTCGCACTTTGGGAGCCCGAGGATGGGTGGATCCCTCGATCCCAGGCAATTGAGACCAGGCTTGGCAACATGGTGAAACTTTGTCTCTACGAAAATACAAAAATTAGCTGATTTCATAATCTGGACTCAAAATTAATAAATAAGTAGATTGAAATTTAAAATTAAAAAAAAAATCTTAAATGCTGTATTCTGTTATTTTTGCTTCCTACCCTGAGAAGGACATAATATAGCTGTTGTCTGTCTGTCCATCTGTTTGTGACAGTGTCTCACTCTGTCTGTCACCCAGGCTGGAGTGCAGTGACACCATCACAGCTCACTGCAGCCTCAACCACCCCAGGGTTAGGTGATTCTCCCACTTCAGCCTCCTGAGTAGCTGAGACCACAGGCAAGCAACTCGGGTTTTGGCCATGTTGTCCAAGGCTGGTCTGAGCTCCTGGGCTCAAGCGATCCTACCACCTCAGCCTCCCTAAGGGTTGGGGTTGCAGGCATGAGCCATCGCACCCGGCCTGACCTAATACATCTGGTCTCACTAGGTCCTGACCACACGCCCTTGAAGAACTCGAGTCAAGAGAGAATTAGCAAGAGATTTTCAGCATTCTCTCCCGAAAGCAGTGAGGTGGATGGCAGCTGAGTGTCGTGCGCTCCAGTGGTTTTAGGTGGCCACACGTAGAGGATAGATTTCAAATGTTTCTGGAGAGGCGTGGGCCACAGTCATTCGGGGCATTCGAGCTCGGGATGGGGTTTCTGACAGCACCTTAATGGCCAGGAAGGGCCAGGATCTGCCAAGGCCCGTGTTCTCGAGTGGGGACAATAGAACCCAAGGTAGAGGGAGCCATCGATCCTCAGTGAGCTCCAGTCCTAGGCCCCACCATGCAGACCAAATCAGAAGGAACAGTCCCTCATCCTACATGCCACATCCCTCCACTGAACTTGGGAGCAGATCTGTTTTCCAAACATGAGGTGACTCTCGGTTTGAAATGAATCACAAGGGGCCCGGCTTTCCTGAGACGGCAGGATAAAGAAGACATTCTGTGGCATAGAATGAGGTGTGCCTCAAATCTAGAATCTCCAGTTAAAACCAATGACGGTGGCCTGGCGCGGTGGCTCACCACTGTCATCCCAGCACTTTGGGAGGCTGAGGCTGGTGGATCACGAAGTCAGGGGTTTGAGATCAGCCTGGCCGCCAACATGGTGAAGCCCTGTCTCTACTAATAAAACAAAAGTTAGCTGGGTAGGGTGGCACGCGCCTGTAATTTCAGCTACTCAGGAGGCTGAGGCAGGAGAATCGCTGGAACCAGAGAGGCGGAGATTGCAGCCAGCCAAGACCATGCCACAGCCTGGGAGACAGAACGAGACACCATTTACCCAGGGGGTAAAAGAACAACAGTTGCCCCACCAGGGTGGAAGTTCCCTAGGCAGTGAGGGAGAGACGGAGGGGCCTCCAGAAGGGAAGGAGAGAGAGCAGTTGCCCCAGGCTCTGTGAAGTTGGCCAGACCTCCCTCAGTGCCACCTCGACTTTCAATAACACTGGCCACTAGGTGATGTCCTATTTATTTTTTAAAAACTTATTTATTTTGAAAGATTGCAATTTAGGCTGGGCGCGGTGACTCACACCTGTTATCCCAGCACTTTGGGAGGCCGGGGGTGGAAGGGGCAGATCCCTGAAGGTCAGGAGTTCAAGACCAGCCTGGGCAACATGGTGAAACACTGTCTTTACTGAAAAAACAAAAGTTAGCTGAGTAGGGTGGCATGTGCCTGTAATCCCAGCTACTCGGGAGGCTGAGGCAGAAGAATCGCTGGAACGAGGGCGGCGGAGATTGCAGCCAGCTGATACCACCCCAAAGCCTGGGCTACAGAACGAGACTCTATTTAAAATAAATTAATTAATAAATAAGTGAATGAATGTATGTGAAAAGAAAAATGCAAGAAAATGGCAGAGCACGGGAAGGCTCCACTCATTCCTAAAGACCAGAGCAGAAAAACAGGACCTTCAACTTGAGACATAGGCCATTTTTAATCTGTTGTCACCATGCTCAATTGGCACCAAAGAAGGGCAGATTTCTGTGCCGCCTGTCTGTCATCACCGCTCTCGTCAAGTATAATTACAGGGTCACGACTACATAGAGATCTCTCAACCCACCAAATGTGTCCGTACTTTTATGAGCCCGGTTGGGAGAATAAACAGGGCATTTAGCAAAGTACTCATCGTATGTTCTTTGGTCTGCCATGTCTCTTGTGAAACCAATCAAATTCATGTTTCTGTTTTTTTTCCAGCCCTCGACTGTCCACAGAATACTGAAATAAAAGAAGAGTGAATACATTTTATGCAACAAGGAGGAAAAACAACAAAGCGAAAGTCTTAGAGGCTTGTGATACATACACAGGGGATACAGAATAAGGAGATTCTTCCAGAATCCACACAAAGACGGACAGACAGAGGGATGGGAGGAAACAAATTGAGAAAAGAGAGAGAGCAGAAAAGATCAAGAGAGACAGAGATGTAAAGGGAAGAAAGATGAAAAAGAAAATAGAAAGGCAGAGAAACAGAAGAAGAGAATGAGAAATGAGAAAAAAGGGAGGAAGAAAAAGAGAGAGAAGAAAAAGAAAAGAAAGAAAAGGAAAGAAAGTGAAAGAAAAAAAGAAAGATGAAGGAAATAAAAAACAAGGCAGCACAACATGGCTTATGCCTATACTCCCAACACTTTGGGAGGCTGAGGTGGAAGAATCGCTTGAGTCCAGCAGTTTGAGACCAGCCCTGGCAACACAGTGAGACCACGTCTCTACTTAAAAAAAAAAAAAAAAATTAAAAAGTTAGCTGGGTGTGATGGCAGGCGCCTGTAGCCCCAGTTCCTTTGGAGCCTGAGGTGGGAGCATCTCTTGGGCTCGGGAGGTGGAGGCTGCGGTGGGCCTTGGTCAGGCAAATGTACTGCAGCCTGTTGCCCAGGCTCGTCTCGAACTCCCGAACTCTAGCGAACTGCCTGCCTCAGCCTCCGAACTTGCACCTGCCATATCCAACGGCCCTGGGGGTATACAGTGACAGATTTTAGTAGACATGGCGTTTTGCCATATTGCCCAGGTTGGTCTCGAACTTGAATCCGGGAATTTGAGGCTACAGTCAGCCATGGTCGTGCCACTGCACTGCAGTCTGGGTGATGGAGCAAGACTCCATCTCTAAATAACTAAATAATAAAAACAATAACAATAATAACAAACAATAATACAAAGAAATACTAACAACAACAATAATAATAAACTAGTAGGAGTGAAAAATATAAAAATATAAAAGATAATTTAGATCACAATTAATAGCAATAATTTCAAGGAGTTATTTCTTTAACCTGTCTCTCTTACTTTCTGAAACAGGGTCTTTCTCTGTCACTCAGGCTTGAGGCCAATGGCGTGATCATGGCTCACTGCAGCTTCGACATCCCAGAATCAAGCAATTCCTGCAGTCTCAGCCACTTGGAAGGTTGAGATAGCAAGATCACCTGAGGGAGCCCAGGAAGGTCGAGGCTGCGGTGAGCCGAGATTACATTCTCATACTCCAACCTTTCTCAAAAAAGAAAAATAAAGGTAAAACAACAGCAGCTTCAGTGTGTAAAAAGAGGAATAAGAAACATAAAAGAAAAAAGAAAAACAAAATGAAGGACAACTGAAAGTACTGTGGAAACAATTGGAGAGGAAGAAACGACGTAGTGAGAGAACGACATCTAGTGGATGCAGGTGGTAGTGCTGCTGACCAGAGAGATCTGTTCTACCTTAGAAATCCCAAGTTAACCATCAAAGCCAGCGCTCGCCGCCGACATTTGGTGGACCCGGCGCTCGCGGACGGAAGCGATCAGACCCAGTTGGAACCTTATCACACCGAGCCTGCCCACCTTTGCGGCCATCTAACTCCGCCGACCTGCCCGCCGTTCCGCCACCGTCGGCTGGTTGACCCGGGCTGCGGAGAGAGGAGGAAAGACAGAAAGGCAGTGACTGGCTCCTGTCCCATTCCCGCGCGCCTGGGGCGGGTAGAGGGGCCGTGACCCCAGTGGCCACCACTGGGCATGCGTGAACACTACTCGGACAGGAACCACAGGGGCACACCCTCTGACACCCACGCCTCAGCCATTCTCACCAGGCCCGATAAATCCGATCCCAGCCCCTGAAGGAGGTCAAAGCGGGGTGCAGGAAGGAGGCGGAATTGGAGAGGGAACGACGAGCATGGGCGACACCCCTACCTCGGCAAACCCCAGCACAGCACCTTGGAAAGCCCGCAGATGGGGACGGGCGCCTCCCGAAGACACAGCGGGCACCAGTGGTCTCTCGGGAGGGACACCTGCTGCGTGCTTCGGGGCTCCGGGTCCGGTGGGCATGAGCGGGCGAGGAAACTAGGTTCCGGGTATAACAGGAGAAAGGAAGGAAGGTAGACGTCAAGGGCTGAATTACACAGGACACGCCACATCACCAGGTCCCCCGCGCACGGGTGCAGGGAACCTTGTGTGGAGGTTTGACTTTCAATAGATCGCAGCGAGGGAGCTGCTCTGCTCCATAGAAAACCCTGACCCAGAAGCAGGATGTCTACAAATAGTTTAGCATCCGGTTCCCCAAAAACACGTTATGTGATGGGTCAGGGGGTGACCGCCCTTCTGGCAGCAGCCCATTTCCTACGATGAGGGGCTCTCTGCACCGGATCCTGGTTCCCGGCGCATGGCGGGACATGCCCCTCCTGAGGCAGAGCGGCCCGCCGGAGGGGACGGCAGAGGACCGCCTATCCAAGGCCAACAAAGCCAAGCACATACACAAAATGTCTGAACCTGCGGTTCCTCTCGTACTGAGCAGGATTACCATGGTAGCAACACATGGGCAACAACACAAGGGGAACGCAAACAGTAAAACTAACCTGTCTGACATGGATCTAACCATAATGCTTTTAGGGCATGCGCACCGCTGTTGGGTGAATCCATTCTAGTCCGCCTTGCCCTTCGCAAAGAAAAGAGAACTCTCCAGACGCGGTGGATCACGCCTGTAATCCCAGCACTTTGGGAGGCTGAGGAGGGAGGATCACCTGAGATCAGGAGTTCAAGATCAGCTTGGCCAACATGGTGAAATCCTGTCTCTACAAAAATACAAAAATTAGCCAGGCATGATGGCGGGTGCCTGTAATCCCAGCTACCCAGGAGGCTGAGGTGGGAGAATCGCTTGAATCCGAGAGGCGGAGGTTGCAGCCAGCCGAGATCGCGCCATTGCACTCCAGCCTGGACAACAAGAGTGAAAGTACCTCTCAAAAAAAAAAAAAAAAGATACAAATAATTATATGGGCTCTGTTGCCCAGGCTGGAGTGCAGTGGCTTGATATCAGCTCTCTGCGGCAGCCTCCATCTCCCGGGTTCAAGTGATTCTCCTGCTTCTGCCCCTCGAGTACCTGGGACTAAAGGCAAGCGTGCCACCAAGCCCAGCTAATTTTTGTATTTTTAGTAGAACTGGGGTTTCACCATGTTGGCCAGGCTGGTCTTGATCTCCTGACCTCAAGGGATCCACCCGCCTTAGCCTCCCAAAGTGCTGGGATTACAGGTGTGAGCCGCCACACCTGCGCTATGTGTTTTTTAAATCTCTCTTTCTAGGGTCATGAGAATTCTCATTAATTTCACTTAGAGCTCCTGGAGAGAAAAGCCTCTATTATTGTCATTGTAACAGTAAAAAAAAGAGAGATTTTTTTCTTTTGAGACAGAGTTTTGCTCTTGTTGCCTAGGCTGGAGTGCAATGGCCCAATCTCAGCTCACTGCAACCTCCACCTCCCAGGTTCAAGTGATTCTCCTGCCTGGGCCTCCCAAGTAGCTGGGATTACAGGCATGTGCCACCATGCCTGGCTAATTTTGTATTTTTACTAGAGACAGGGTTTCACCATGTTGGTCAGGCTGTTCTCGAACTCCTGACCTCAGGTGATCCACCTGCCTTGGCTTCCTAAAGTGCTGGGATCACAGACGTGAGCCAGTGTGTCCAGCCTTTTTTTCTTTTTTTTTTTTTTGAAACAGGGTCTCCTTCTATTGCCCAGGCTGGAACACAGTGGCACAATCATAGCTCACTGCAGCATCAAACTCCTGGAGCTCAAGCAACCCTCCAGGCTCAGCCTCCCAAGTAGCTAGGATTACAGGTGCACACCACTACGCCCAGGAAATTTTTTCTATTTTTACACAAAATGCCTCAACATGGATTTTTTTTCTTTTTTGGCAGAGATGATGTCTCACTATGTTGCCCAGGCTGGTCTCAAACTCCCCACCTCAAACCATCCTTCCACCTTAGCCTCCCAAAGTGCTAGGATTACAGGCGTGAGCCACTGCACCCAGCCCCAATAACTTTTTTTTTTTTTGGCAGTCTCGCTCTGTCAACCAGGCTGCTGGAGTGCAGTGGCGTGATCTCAGCTCACTGCAACCTCTGCCTCCCAGAGTCAAACAATCCTCCCGCCTCAGCCTCCTGAGTAACTAGAATTACAGGCTGATGGCAGCACGCCCTGCTAATTTTTGCATTTTTAGTAGAGACGGGGTTTCACCATGTTGGCCAGGCTGGTCTTGAACTCCTGACCTCAAGTGATCCACCTGCTGTGCATGGCCTCCCAAAGTGCTGGGATTATGGGCGTGAGCCACCCCACGTGGCTCCCAAGAACTCTTTAAATGAACCTAGTGTCACAAGAACAGATAGCTAAACTGTATCTGAAAAGGTGGCTCATACGGGGAAATTTTTGGTGGATTTGGGGAAGCTTAGGGCAAATTTTAAACATGAGGCCTTTTGTCAGATCACCTACATTCCTTGGATTCTACGTGGGTTTGTTGCAGATGCTTAATATGACAAATTACATGACTTCTATCACTTCATTTGATCAGCCTCCCATTGACTTTCAGCCAAGTCCTGCAGAATCGCTTCTCAGATTGTATGTTTCCTCAAGACTAAGATGTTTTCATAGTCTCTCTCTAACTTCCCCTTTTTGTGGCTATTTATTTATATTTATATGTTTTTCAACTCCTTATTTTTTTTTCTCTTTATAAAAGCTTTAACCTGTGCTATTCTTGAGGGAAATACTGATGCATATCTAAACTTTAAGGGTGTTTTTCATCCTGGCTACAGACACTCGGTGAATAATTTTTCAGGTTATGGGAAAACCCATCATTATGAGAATGTAGCAACTTTTATTTTGCAGTAACTGTTAAAATTGTAGCCATGGTGCTCAGTAAAAGGGGACCTTCCCCCTGTAGGTGTTTGGAGAGGAGTTTTTTGTTAGTAACCTGCTTATGGATGGGGCATTATCACCTAGAAAGGAAAGAGGTACCGTGGTATGCAGTTAAAGGGAGCTGGGGCAAGAGCAAGGCAAAGAAATTCCCTCATGTCTTCAATGCAGAGCCAGCATTTAGACTTCTACTCCAGGCAGGGCCCACAAATCTCTGGCAGCCATGAGCACCTGTTTTGCTTCTGCCTTCTTCCTGTTGGCAATTTTGGGTTTGGGGGGTTTTTTTTAGACAGAGTCTCACTCCATCACCGGGCTGGAGTGCAGTGGTGCAATCTCGGCTCACTGCAGCCTCTGCCTCACAGGTTCAAGTCATCCTCTTGTCTCAGCCTCCCAATTAGCTGGGACTACAGGTGCGCACCACCAAGCACAGCTAATTTTTGTATTTTCAGTAGAGATGGGGTTTCGCCATCTGCCCAGGCTGATCTCGAACTCCTGATCTCAAGTGATCCATCCACCTCAGCCTTTCAATGTGCTGGGATTACAGGTGTCATTCACCGTGCCTGGCCTGTTGACAATTTGAGGGGCATGTAAAATATCTGCAGCCCTTTCAGCCAGTAAAACACCGAAGAATGTGTTACGTGGCTTCTCCATTCTCCTTCTTTCTCTGCCCTACTAAATATTAAAGGGTTCTCCTTTTCCCAAGCCCAGTGGAAAAGC
This sequence comes from Homo sapiens, assembly GCF_000001405.40. Lineage (NCBI taxonomy): Eukaryota > Metazoa > Chordata > Mammalia > Primates > Hominidae > Homo > Homo sapiens. Next base: position 34,222,823 of record NC_000012.12, read on the forward strand.
TTCAGGAAGCACGGAGGTATCAGAAGCATCCAAAGAGATCACACCAAGTAATTCCAAGTCACTCTCATTCACCCCATTGGAAGTTCCTGCCATCCTGTGTACCCTGGGGGCTCCTAATGCAGGCAGATAATATCCTTGGTGTGCTGTTAGGCTGGAAGACTCCCTCATCTTTGCTCTTCTGTTTGAGAAAAGAAATGGCTGGACACGGTGGCTCACCCCTGTAATCCCAACATTTTGGGAGGCAAAGGCAGGTGGATCACTTGAGGTCAAGAGTTCAAGACCAGCCTGGCCAACATGGTGAAATCCCATCTCTACTAAAAACACAAAGGTTAGCCGGGTGTGGTGGTGGATGACTGTAATCACAGCTACTCAAGGAGCTGAGGCAGAAGAATCGCTCGAACCCAGGAGGCGGAAGTTGCCGTGAGCCGAGATCACACCACTGCACTCCAGCCTAGGCAACAGAGCAAGACTCTGCCTAAAAAAAAAATATATATATATATATATATATATATAAAACATATACATTTATATATATATATATAACATATACATTTATATATATATATATTATATTTATATTTTAATAAATGAATAGAATTCATCACCTAACTTCTAAAGCTACTTCTCTAGATGAAATTCTGGGCACTTAGGAGTCAGCAGTGGTATACTGAGTGCATTGCTCTTGCTCACAGGTGCTTCTTTTCTGTCCCATGGCAGGCGGCACCAACATAAGGCTTCTGCAAAGCTGAGAGCTCCTTTTACCCATGGATCAGGAGCAAAGTTTGCAGCTACACTGTCAGGCTGTGTTTGGATGTTAGCAGTTAGTTTAGCTTTGCGTCTTCAGAGCAATTGTTCTTAGCTACTTAAGAAAAAAAAAAAACCCGATAAAGCATTTGCTGCTCCATAGGATGGGAGCACCCTCTGTTTTCAGGGCATTTGAGGCCCTCTGGCATGTGTTTTTGATGTTTATTATTGTCAGGGCTGTCCCTGTAATTTCCCAGAAATAGAACTCCTGAAAGCTGTTTCCCAGAAAGGACAGCAATAGAGATAATGGATGCCAGAGACAGAGAACACTCTGGTGCCAGATCCTTGGGCTGCTATGTCAGACATTTGCTTATTTATTATTATTATTATTGTTTTTTGAGATGGGGTCTCATTGTGTTGCCTAGGCAGTTCTTCAACTCCCGAGCTCAAGCAATCCTCCCACTTTGGTCTCCTAAAGTGCTGGAATTACAGGCATGAGCCACTGTGTCCAGCTGTTGTTGTTATTATTATTATTATTGTTATTATTATTTTGAGATGGAGTTTTGCTCTTGTTGCCTAGGCTGGAGTGCAATGGCACAACCTCAGCTCACTGCAACCTCCTCCTCCTAGGTTCAAGCAATTCTACTGCCTTAGCATCCCGAGTAGCTGGGATTACAGATGCCTGCCACGATGCCCAGCTAATTTTTGTATTTTTAGTAGAGACGGGGTTTTACCATGTTGGCCAGGCTGGTTTCGAACTTCTGACTTTAGGTGATCCACCCACTTTGGCCTCCTAAAGTGCTGGGATTACAAGCATGAGCCACTGTACCTGGCCTCAGCTGTTATTATTTTTAATTGATGCCTAATACTTGATACCTAATACATATTTAATTGATACCTAATACATATTTACAGGGTACATTTTGATATTTTGATACATGTTTACAATGTATAAGGATCAAATAAGGGTGATTAGTATATCCATCACCTCAAACATTTATTATTTCTTTGTGTTGGGAGGTTCAAAATCTGCTGTTCTAGCTATTTGAAAATATACAATAAATTATTGTTAATTACAGTCACCCTATAGTGCTTTAGAGCACTAGAACTTATTTTCCATATCTAGCTGTACTTTGGTATCCATTAAACAACCGTTAGACTGTGTGCAGCGGCTCATGTCTGTAATCCCAGCACTTTGGGAGGTCGAGGCAGGAGGATCACCTGAGATCAGGAATTCAAGACCAGCCTGGGCAACATGGCAAGATCCTTCTTGGAAAAAAAAAAGAGAGAAATAAAATAAAAGAAAAGGAAAGAAAATAAAATTTAAAATTTTCTTCATTGATTATTCAGGAGCATATTGTTTTATTTCCATGTATTTGTAAAATTTCAAAAGTTCACCTTGTTGTTCACTTCTAGTTTTATTCCATTTTGGTCAGGAAGGATACTCGATATAATTTCAATTATTTTAAATTTGTTGAGACTTCTTTTGTGGCCTAACATATGGTCTATTCTGGAGAATGTTTCTTGTGCTGAAGAAAGAAGGTGTTTTCTGCATCTGTTGGATGAAATGTTCTGTAAATGTCTCTTTGTTAGTCTAAAATGCAGTTGGTTTTTTGTTTTTTTGAGATAGAGTCTCACTCTGTTGCCCAGGCTGGAGTGCAGTAGCATGATCTTGACTCACTGCAACCTCCACCTCCCAGGTTTAAGCAATTCTCATGCCTCAGCCTCCCAAGTAGCTGGGATTACAGATGCCTGCCACCACACTCAGCTAATTTTTGTATTTTTAGTAGAAACAGGGTTTTACCATGTTGGCCAGGCTGGTCTCAAACTCCTGGCCTCAAGGGATCTGCCTGCCTCAGCCTCCCAAGGTACTGGGACTACAAGTGTGTGCCACTGCATCCAGCCTAAAGTGCAGTATAAATCTCGTGTTTTGTTGTTGATTTTCTATCTAGACAATCTCTTCAGTGCTGAGAATGGGGTGTTGAATTCCCCAGCTATTGTATTGGAGTCTATGTCTCCCTTTAGATCTAATAATATTTGGTTTATATTATATATCTCGGTGGTCCAGTGTTGGGTGCATAGATATTTAGAATTGTTACGTACTCTTGCTGAATTGATACCTTTATCATTATATAACCACCTTTGTCTCTTTTTAATCATTTCTGACTTAAAGTCTGTTTCATCTGATACGAGTATAGCTACCCTGCTTGCTTTTGGTTTCTGTTTGCATGGAATATCTTTTTCCACTCTTTCAGACTATGTGTGTCTTTACAGATCAAGTGAGTTTCTTGTAGGCAACCTATAGTTGGGCCATGTTTTTTAATCCATTCAACCAGTCTATATATTTTAAAGGGGGAAATTTAATCAGTTTACATTCAAGATTATTATCGATAGGTGAGGACTTGTCATGTTGTTAATTTTTTAAAAATATATCCTTTGTTCCTTTCTTCCCCTCTTATTGTTCATCCTTGTAATTTGGTGGTTTTCTATAGTGATAAAGTTTGATTCTTTTCTCTTTCTCCTTTGTGTATGTGCTCTACCAGTGAGTTTTATACTTTTTTGTGTTTTCATGAGAGTAATTATCATTTCACTTCCAGATGTGGGACTCCCTTTAGCATTTCTTGTAAGGCTGGTCTAGTGGTGATGAATTCTATCAGTCTTTGCTTGTCTGAGACATGTCAGGCATTTAGCTTCAGGACCTGATTCTAGTTCCCTGCCCTGTAGAAACAGTAGAAACAGATCCCTGGTACCCTGCTTAGGTACTAAGCCAGCTAGATGTGAGCAGATGAGAAAATCAAATCCTTCTATTTTGCCAGGGATTAATTCATTCCCAGGATTGTAAATATTACATTTCACTTTTCATGTCACAGAACTGTGAGATTAGAAGGTGAGATGGGCAGCCTGCCCAGCAAGACATTATGATGTATACAACACAGTGAACTACTAAGAAGGTGTCTTTAAAGGCATTTACAATGCATAGCTTTTTTTTCTCCTTTTAATTTTGCTGCTCTTTATTTGTAGTAGTAGATAAGGAATTAAGAAAGCAAAAATAGGTGCTTTGACTAGGTCTTTTGCCTTTGAAAGTAGCATTAGTAAAATCCCCTCTTCTTTTTTCTTGTAAACTTTACCCAATTCACTCTGCCCCCAGCCCATCTGTGTTCACTTGCTGTTCTTGCTGCTCTCAGTTTTTAAAAGCTTATTCTAAAATTACATGAAAGCAACGCCATTTTGACAAAATTAGAATTCTGGTAGGAATGGCTTACCATGAGGCCCTTGAGAGAGGCCCAGCAAGACTTTTGTACTTTTTATTTCAACCTCTCTTGGTTAAACCTACAATTTGGTAGATGATATAATTACCTCCCTTGGGCAGGTCAGTATCTCTGCCTTGGAGAAATAACAAAGTCCAAAGTAGTCTCTTCGTTCAAAGATGTTGGAAATGAAGGCTTTTTGATCTTTATGTATTAACATTTGGGTTTTAATCTTTCTGGGCCTCCTGACAGAAAATTCCTTTAAATTTATTATATAATTCTAAAATATTGGACATATTTGTTTCAAGTATCTGTCAATATCCTTACTCTTTTCATTCCACTCCCCATTGCCCTCATTAGTCATCAGGTCCTACTGATTTTTAACTCCTAAGTATTTCTCAAATCTGTCTCCTCAGCATGTACTGTTGGTTATATAACTCCCACTCCATTGTCACTGTGCTGCTTTAGACTATTTTTTCTTCTCTAGATCAGTGCCTGGCTTATATTATGAGCTTCATAAAGTTGGATCAATGAATGAATGAATGATTCATAATCTGGACAACTGCACTCTAACACTTAACTGAAAAAAAGTCTAAAGATCTGTATTCCATGTAAAAGCATCTATCTGAAATGCAAATCTTACTTTGATAATTTCCAGATTACTAAACCTCTTAGATGGCTCCCAGGCATCCCCAAAACCATCTCTCATTTCACTGATCAAAAAAGTAAAATTTAAAAATTTTAAAACTAAAAAAAAATTGAGCATTTCTTTGGTCAAAAAACAAAAACAAAAATGATCTCTGAGCATGCCTCACTGACACCCCGCTCTGCTGTGCACCCCTCTCCCACCCCCAGCCTACAGGGAACACCCAATAACCTCTTCTTTGCTGCATAACCCTTACCTTCCTTTTTCAAGACTCATACTTTCTCCTTAGAAACTTTTCGCCCCACTTCCTGGAAACAGTAGATTCTTTCTTGCTTATGGTTTTTGTAATGACATCAGCCATTTAGAACTCATGATGTGCCCAAGCCCCACTATCTGCCTCTCCACAGATCTCACTCAGACAATCCATCAGGAGTTAGTCACAGATCTAAAGTAAGGAGCTAGAAGAGAGCTTCAGGCTTGGTCTCTTTGGGTTGAAGCTAGAAAACCAATCTATGCTGAACACAAAAAAGAAGCTGAGTAATAGCCAACCTATACATCCTAGGAATAACTATTGCTTTTTTTGCCCTCAGCCAGTCTCTCTGTTGGGAGCAAGCCCCCCAAAATCTGGCCATAAACTGGCCCCAAAACTGGCCATAAAATCTCTGCAGCACTGTGACATGTTCATAATGGTCCTAACGCCCAAGCTGGAGGGTTGTGGGTTCACAGGAATGAGGGCAAAGAACACCTGGCCTGCCCAGGGTGGAAAACCACTTGAAGGCATTCTTAAGCCACAAACAATAGCATGAGCGATTTATGCCTTAAGGGCATGTTCCTGCTTCAGTTAACTAGCCCAACATATTTCTTTAATTTGGCCCATCCCTTCGTTTCCCATAAGGGATACTTTTAGTTAATTTAATATCTATAGGAACAGTGCTAATGACTGGTTTGCTGTTAATTAATATGTGGGTAAATCTCTGTTCAGGGATCTCAGCTCTGAAGGCTGTGAGACCCCTGATTTCCCACTTCAGACCTCTATATTTCTGTGTGTGTTTCTTTAATTCCTCTAGCGCCGCTGGGTTAGGGTCTCCCTGACTGAGCTGGTCTCGGCATCTCTCCACAGTTCCTCTCTCCTTCTTTACATTTCTTTTAAACACAGTATATTAACACAACACTGTGTGAGAACTGGGATTCAGAAAACCAAGATATAGGTCTCCAAGAGCTATGCTATGAGTCAGCCATGAAAACTGTCTGGGCCTCATTGACTGAGTCTGTAAAATCTGACTTGATGAGGATTATATTCATTGAACTCTGAGGTCCTGTCCATTTCTTACACCCTGATTCAAGGACCACACAGAACCTCTAACCCAGATGTTCTTAAATAGCCTTCTTGTATGTCTGGGAAGATGATGAAAGAACTTCAAGGGGATCATGAGCTCTTTAAATTCTATGTAAAATCCAAGGCCGGGCGCGGTGTCTCACGCCTGTAATGCTAGCACTTTGGGAGGCCAAGACAGGCAGATTGCCTGAGCTCAGGAGTTCGAGACCAGCCTGGGCAACATGGTAAAACCCCATCTCTATTAAAATACAAAATAATCAGCCTGGTGTGGTGGTGCGTGCCTGTAGTCCCAGCTACTCAGGAGGTTGAGACACAAGAATTGCTTGAACCCTGCAGGAAGAGGTTGCAGTGAGCTGAAATCATGCCACTGCACTCCAGCCTGGGAGACAAAGAGAAACTCTGTCCCAAAAAATAAATAAATAAATAAATAAATAAATAAATAAATAAATAAATAAATAAATAAAATTCTATGTAAAATCCTGTGTCAGCTGGCTGCATCACCTTGGCCCACATAGGGGGTTTTCTTATCTTTTTTCTCTTTCAAGGTAATGGCAGTCTATCGTTGCCCTACTATGTACTCTCTTTTTATTATTTTATTTATTGATTTTTTTAGAGACATGGTCTCACTCCTCAGGTCATCCCACCTCAGCCTCCTGAGTAGCTAGGATCACAGGCATGCCCCAGCATGCCTAAAAAAAATTTTGATGCTGGGCACAGTGGTTCACGCCTTGAATCCCAGAGCTTTGAGAGGCTAAGGCAGGAGGATTGATTAAGTCCAGGAGTTCAAGAACCTGAGAAATGTAGAGAGACCCCATTTCTATTACAAAAAAATAAAAAATAAAAACATTAGTTGGGCCCAGTGGCATTCACCTATAGTGCCAGCCACTTATGAGGCTGAGGCAGAGGATTGCTTGAACCCAGTTCAAGGCTGTATTGAGCTATGATTGTGCCTCTGCACTCAGCCTGGGTGACACAGCAAGACCCTATCAAAAAAAAAAAAAAAGTAAGGCTACAGGGAAGAAAGTATTTGGATAACAGTAAAAAAGTTAAACTCATGACGTTGGACTTTATGAAATGTGTTTACCCCAGAGCTGTTTACTGTATGATAAGTCCCTCCTAGATAGTATTCAAGGTTTAATGCAAAATCTCCAAGGACTTCTCTTGGTAGCAATGGTATTCTTTAGGAGGGCACGTTACTGAATCCTTCCTATAAAATGGCTCAAGATCCACTTCATGAGCTTCCAGAATAACTCCTGAAGCTACTCATGTTCCCCACTGGAAAACACATTACCACTACAAGACTGGCAAACATGAACCAGCATGGTAGAAACTTGGCAGGAAGAAAGCTCAAAATTTAGCACTTGGCCAGGCAATGTGTAATTTCTGTGAAAATTGCAGGCTAACAGTCAGTGAATTTGTCAGAAGGGGAGTTATTTGCTAGAGTTCTAGCCACCATTCTTGGAGAGCTGATGGTTCAATCTACCCTTCCTCCAGCCTGGGTCTGGACAGGGGTTGGCTCTTGTTCATTCCTGATGCATAGCCATCCTTAGTGGTCACTGCATTCTGAAGGGGTTTAGTGGGAATGTGGGCCTTGGGCAATGAACCCGAAGTTAACTCATGTGAGTTCCCAGAGCAGATTTGTGTTCAGTTCAGCTAACATTTATAGAGCACCTAATGACTGCTACATGCTGCCTGAGAGAGAGAGAGGATGGAACAGTGTCTGCCCTTGAGAAGTTCAGAGGGATGGGGAGAACCTAATGTGGTCAGAGCAGTTGTAGAGATAATGCCCATGGGACTGAAGGAGCATAGAGGCCAGGGTAGAACGAGGCTTCCAAAGAGAGTCCTGAGCTGTGAGAAGCTTCTCAGTGTCTGTGAGGAACTAGCCACAAGGAGAGTGAGAGTACCAAAGCACAGAATGCAGGAGTTGGGATGACTGTTAAGCCAAGAAGCAGATGGGCAGGGTGAGGACTAGGGTGCAAAATTTAAGGCAACACTCAGTCTCAGGGTCGTGCACATGCAGGGTCAGCAACTGAGAGTGTGTGTCTCCTTAATTTTGCATCCTAGGCACCTCATCTGCCCAGCCCTGCAGTTGGGTACAGTCGTGATTGGCTTTCTGGGCCATGATGAAGAGCTGGGATTTTTTTATTTTTTATTTTTGATGAAGTCTCGCTCTGTTGCCCAAGCTGGAGTACAGTGGGGCGATCTCGTGATCTCGGCTCACTGCAACCTCCCTCTCCCGGGTTCAAACTATTCTCCTGCCTCAGCCTCCTGAGTAGCTGGAATTACAGGCACATGCCACCATGCCTGGCTAATTTTTGTATTTTTAGTAGATTCAGGGTTTCACTATGTTGGCCAGGCTGGTCTTGAACTCCTGACCTCAGATGATCCACCCGCCTCGGCCTCCCAAAGTGCTTGGATTACAGATGTGAGCCACCGTCTCTGGCTGGAATTTTAACTTTAGATCATGGAGGGCCTTCAAGCATTTGAAGCTGGGGACTGACGTGGCAAGATTGGCATTTTAGAAATATTGCCCCAGATTGGGCGTGGTGGCTCACACCTGTAATCCCAGAACTTTGGGAGGTCGAGGCAGGCAGACTGCTTGAGCCCAGGAGTTCAAGGCCAGCCTGGGCAACATACCAAGACCTCATCTCTACAAAAAAAAAAAAAAAAAATTACCCAGGTGTGGTGGCCTGCACCTGTAGTCTCAGCTACTCTGGAGGAGTCTGAGGTGGGAGGATCCCTTGACCAGGGAGGTGGAGTTTATAGTGAACTTTGATCCAGCCTGGGTGACAGAGGGAGATCGTGTTTCAAAAACAAATATCACCCAAACAATTGTTGTGGTGAGACTTGAATGGAGACAGAGACCATTTTGGAAGCTGTTGTTGGAGCCAGGCACAATGGTGTGTACCTGTAGCCCAGCTACTCGGGAGACAGAGGCGGGAGGATCACTTTAATCTAGGAATTCAAGTCCAGTCTGGGCAACATAGTGAGACTCCATCTCTTTAAAAAAAAAAAGTAGGGGGGGTGGGGGGTTGCTATTTTAATAGTCCAAGCAAGAGATGAGACCCAAACTAAGGGTCAGGTGGAAGAAGGCAGTTTAATCATATTTAGGAGGTAAAAAACAGGGGGCCTGAACTGAATGCATTGATGAAGAAGCAGAAGGCTGTGCGATGACCCCGGGACTCTAGGGCAGCTGCTGGGCAGTAGAGATGGGGATGTTCAGCGAGTCGTGAGTAGGGGAGGAGGGGGAGTTGGCATGGGGCTGGGGGCTGGGAGAACTGTGGATTTGATCTTGAAATATTTGAGGTTAGGGTGCCTGTGGGGTGAACAGAGGAGATGTATACCCCACAGGCACCTTACATCTCCAGCAGTTGGACCCATGAATGTGACGTTAGAGAAATGAGAGCTGGGAGACATACTTCAGCGTGTACTTTGTAGATTAAGCCACATGGATTTTCCAGGGAGGAATTGTAGTTTCAGGAGAAAAGTGGTCTGAGGATTCAACCCTGGGAAACTGTAGTAACCAATTACCAACATTTAAGGTCCAAGAAGGGTCTACCTTAACGTGCCAAGGGAGATGGCCAGGGGTAGAAGGCAAAGAAAGAGAAGAGGTGTCTGGAAGTCTTGGAGTGACCAACAGTGTCAATACTCCAGGGAGGTCAAGTGGCAGGAGACCTGGGAACCTGCATGGGTGTGGTGGTTGTTGTCCTGAACCTGATGAAGTATTTAACAGAGTGGTCAAGGCAGAAGCCAGACTGTAACCGTTTGAGAAGACAAAAAGCGAGGAAAAACTCAGGGATATAGACCAATAACTGGTTCCTAACTATGCAGCTTTTTTGAATATGAAACCCTGCCAGGCACAGTGCCTTGCGCCTAGAATCCCAGTCCTTTGGGAATCTGAGTCAGAAGGATCTCTTGAGGCCGGGAGTTCAGGACACAGCAAGACCCCATGTCTACAAAAAATATATAAAATAAAAAATTAGCGGCCGGGTGCAGTGGCTCATGCCTATAATCCCAGCAATTTGGGAGGCCAAGGTGGGTGGATCACTTGAAGTCAGGAGTTCGAGACCAGCCTGGCCAAAACGGTGAAACCCTGTTTCTACTAAAAATAAAAAAAATAGCCGGCTGTAGTAGCACACGCCTCCCAGCTGCTCAGTAGGCTAAGGCAGGGTAATCCCTTGAACCTGGGAGGTGGAGGTTGCAGTGAGCCGAGATCGTATCACTGCACTCCAGCATAGGCAACAGAGCAAGACTCTGTATCAAAAATAAAATAAAATAAAATAAAATAGCCCGGCATGGTGGCTTGCACCTGTAGTGCCAGCTGCTCAGGAGGCTGAGGCAGCAGGATCTCTTGAGCCCAGAGAGTGAGGGGCTACAGTGAGCTATGATCATGCCACTGAACTCCAGCCTGGGTGATAGAGCAAGACCCTGTCTCTAAAAAAAATAATAAAAGTAAATAAAAAAGAACGCTGGGCTCCACCTGACAGATTCAAATTCATTTGCTTTAGCACAGGGCCATGGAATCTGTTCTAGCATCCTAAAAGCTGCCTCAGTGAGTTAACAAAACGGACTGGTATTGAAAGAGCTGTCAACAAGTTGTGGCAAAGAGAAGGCTCCTCTGTGAGGCAGGGAAGTAGGGTCAAATAAAAGGTGTTTTTTTGTTTTTTTTTTTTTGAGGAGAGGTGCTGATTTAGGATAAGTAAAATTGTTGTCAGACAGCACAAGAATCTAGGAAAGGCTTGAGACCTTGAAACTGTGGTGGCCTCAGCAGGTGCTTCTGTGAACTTTCTCCTCTCTCAGCAGGGTGGAGTCAGGAGCAGAGAAGGCAGATGGTGGGATGACCCCAAGTTAGGGTTTTATCAGAGAGGAAGAGCAGGAGGACAGGGTGTAAGGTAGATCAAGGAGTGTTACTAAGGGGCTCAGGTCCTAGACAGTGGGTCTTGCAGGTAGGCAATGAGGATTGTGAGGGACAGGAAAGATGCATGGCAAGGGGCCCTGAAAACCAGGGGAATATGGCAACACCAGTCCCAGGAGGGGAGCAGGTCTAACAGGAATGCCCTTGCGCATGTGCAGGAGAGCAGCAAGGCTAGGAGGCTGCAGACAGGCAGTGGGTAACTGAAAGGTGAACTTTCTACTAGACAGCAAATCCCCGGATGCCATCCCGATGGAGATCTAAGATGAAAAATACCGCGCCATAAAAATGCCTTACATGGTTCTAACCATGAAGCATAAAATTGCCTTTTCAACTGAAAACGATCTTCAGCTTCGTTTACCATTTTATGCTTTGGATGTCATGTAACATCCAGAAGCAATACCCTCCCCTGTTGAAAGTCAAAGTAAAATCAGAAAATGCTTAGTGCAAAGGAAAAAAAACAAACAACAACAACAACAACAACAACAAAAAAACAGAAGACAAAAAACCAGCAATAGAATAAAGCTGCAAACCCAAATCACCAGCACAGGAAAGAGAAAACAACCTGCAGCATAGACAAGTTTGATGTTGTGTTATCTGTGAAAATGTATGGAAACATTAATTTACCCAAAAATTCCCAAGGTGCTTTACTTGCCAACCACTGGAAGGAAGTAGAAATTCCCACTCAGGGTACTTTTAATTATCATCCTCTTTATGTTGTTTCCTAAAATAACAACAGGCATTCTAGAGATGATTTACCAAGATGGCCTAATGAGGTGTCAGATGAATACCTGTGCCCATGAGCCCCTTTACCTCAGGCCTCCTTATGCAAATTTGAATGACTCTTCTGAACCTGACTAGATAAAAAAACAGACATAATTCGAGCAGCTGGGCTGGAAGCACAGCTGGGCCATCCCCATAGAGACCAGACTCTAGCACCACCTGCTCTTCCTTGCCCCAGCGTTTCTCCCCACTCTTGCTTTTCAGAGCAGCAGCCCACCTGAACCTGGGTCTTCCTCAGATGATCTCCACATCAGTGCTTGTCAGCATTCATGTACACACAGATCAGCTGGGCAACTTGTGAAAATGCAGATTCAGACTCAGTTGTTGGGGTGGAGTCTCTGGATGTATGTATCTAACAAGCCCCCAGGTGATGCATGTGGTCATCAGATGGTCCTAGTTCCACACTTGGAAGAGCTATTTAGAGCCTCTAAAATAGCTACTCCCCTATGCAGTGTTTGAGTCCCAGACTTCTCGATTCTGCCAGCACCCGGATGCTTCTGGGACAGGATGCTTCCTGTTCATCTTGGATCAACACATCACAAAGGCCTTCCTGTATTGAGCTGAGATCTGTCTACCTAGGGCCTACCTTCACCTGATCTACTTCTGGGCCTTGGATCCTATGAAGCAGGTTTAAGGCCTTAGAAAGTGGCTGGCATGTCCCCCAAGTATTTTCTTCAGGCAAAACATGCCAGGTCCTCTGGCTATTATTTTTTAAGTTTTTTTAGACACAGGGTCTCACCATGTTGCCAGGCTGGTCTCAAACTCCTGGGCTTAAGTGAACCTCCTGCCTCAGGCTCCCAACATGCTGAGATTACAGGCGTAAGCCACAATATCTGGTCTTGGCTATTCTTCTTATGCTATGGTTTGGTCATTCTGGTCATTTCCTTCTTTTTTATTTTTATTTTTATTTTTTTTTTGAGACGGAGTTTCACTCTTGTCACTCAGGCTGGAGTGCAATGGTGTGATCTCGGCTTACTGCAACCTCCGCCTCCCAGGTTCAAGTAACTCCCCTGCCTCAGCCTCCCAAGTAGCTGGGATTACAGGTGCACACCACCACACCCAGATAATTTTTGTATTTTTGGTAGAGATGGGGATTCACCATGTTCATCAGGCTGGGCTCGAACTTTTGACTTCAGATGATCCACCTGCCTCAGCCTCCCAAAGTGCTGGGATTACAAGCATGAGCCACTGCACCCAGCCGTAGTCATTTCCTTCTGATCCTGCTCTGTGTGTCTTTAGGCCTCTCCTTTTGTGATACCCATGCTGCAAAAAGTAGCTTGGGACTGTCACCACCTCATTACAGAGAGCCTTTATGTGACTCGTGTTGAACTTGCTGTCAGCCATCATCCTTAAAGTCATTTTTACACATGCTGTGGATCAGCTACATTTCTTCCTAGTCAGTAATGATTATAATAATTATACTTAACAATTATGAGAATTAGTATAGCAAGATGGCTAAGAACATAGGCTCTGGAATGAGACTGCCTAGTGGGAAGCACTATGATTGGCACCATGTGTTATCTATCACCATCATCACCACCATCACCATCACCATCATCGCCATCGCTATCATCAACATCATCATCACCATCACTATCACCGCCATCATCACCATCGCTATCACCATCATCATCACTATCACCATCATCACTACAACCATTATTACCATCACCATCACTACCATCACTATCAACATCATACCACCATCACCATCATCACCATCACTATCACCACCATCATCACCATCACCAGTCATCACCATCACTATCACCACCATCATCACCATCACCATCACCACCATCATCATCACTATCATCATCACCATCATTACCATCACTGTCACCACATCATCATACCAACACCATCATCAACATAACCACCATCATCACCATCACCGTAATCATCAGCACCATCACCATCATCCATCACCATCACCACCATCACTATCACCACCACCACCATCATCACCATCACCATCATCATCATCATCACCATGTTAAGTAAGTACTTTGCCTACATTAACTGATTTATTTCTCACAACAACTTTATAATGTAGGGGCTATTATTATCCTAGTTTTACAAGTGAGGAAGTGGGACCTCACAAGATTATGTTTTGTGCTGAGGGTAACAGTGACAAGAGTCTAAACCTGTGGAGGGTCCTTTGGTTGGTTTTATTTGTTATGTTATTGACCAAAGTGCAAGACCATATCTGTTCCTGCTATTCATAAATTTCATCTTTTAGTCAGCACTTTACCCTTATTTTACACTATCTTTTGGATTCCTGATTCTGTCATCCCAAGTGTATCTGCCTCCTAGCTTCATGCCATCTGTCATATTGTGAGAAAAATATGTATCTTCACCTAGATCATATGCAAGGTCAGAGGCCATGTGGCAATTCCCTACAGATTCTGTTCACTGAAGCCTGATGGTGCATATCTCCTGAAGCTCCCCGAGCCTATAGTCTTGTAACCCACTCAGAGGAGCCTAGGGAGTGGTCAGACATGATTTGTATTTGAACATATTTGTATTTGGTTCCTGGGAAACGTGTTTCCTCCTTGCTTTCAGGTCTCCATTCCAGAATCTTTTCCAAGACTGACAGCTCCCTCCAAATTTATAGTTGCTGAAATCAATCCTCTGGGCAGGGCCAAATAGAAAGCAGGGTCTGCAGAACACACATCCCAGAGGTGATAATGACAGTTAATCCCTGCAGATAGTTAGATCTAGGAGACTGTCCCTGGGCTTCAGGGCTCCCTGCCTCTGAATCAGTGCATTTGCAGTGCAAATGCAAGCCTCTATGTTCCCCCTAAACTATAGGTGGCTGAGCAGCCATGGTGTTGCCAGCATTTCTATAAAGGAGGAGCTCAAGGCAGCAATCTCATCAGATGTGAGGCTGGGGCTGGCCTTGAATTTAGATTGTTTATTTGGGGCAGTTTGCAAGGAGGGGGTGCCATGATGAGATTATGTGAGCTAAATCCCCCACATAAAACCATTTTGTGCCACTGCTCCTGTGCCAACTGACCAGAAAGACTAGAGTGATTTCTTCCCTCTCTCCTTTCCTGGTTCTGTTCTCTGACCCTGGGTGATTAATGTAACCTAGCTATGTTCAATTACCCATCCTTTTCACGATGTTGGCATGTCTGCCACCTGTCCCTGGTGCTCTTCTTGGTTTCCTGTGAGCCGTGACAATGGGAGCCTTGCGACTTTTGGAGGAGAGCAGGAGGCCCTGGGTCTTCCATTAGTCTGGGCTCCCTAATCACACCATTGTCACTGGAGCCTGCACGAGCTGGGAAGTTGCAAAACAAGCCTGCAAAGAACATTCTTCCACTCCAATAAGTTCCCCTCATGAAATCAAGCAAACCCTGAATGTTTTCTCTTGGTGTGGTCAGGCAGAAGGGCTGTCTCTCTCATATTAGAGCAGTCAGTGATCATTGGCTAACTGAGACTAACGGCACATCTAGAAGAATTTGGAGAAGGCTGTCTTGGTTCTCTTAGAACAGCATGTGGCCCTAGCAGTGCACCTGTTTTTGGATAGCGGTGCCTCCGCAAGCCATGAAAGCTGATGGGGCAGGGAGGGGAGCTCCAGCCAGAAATGGGAAGTCTCTCAAACCTTAGTGAAGTGATCTTGAATCTCTGATTTACAGTGCTGATTTTGACACATTATTCTCAGCAAAACAGTGGTTTAGGGCACGGTCTCAAGCTCTATCTAGGTTGAAATTTTGTCAGGCATGTTGGCTCACATTTGTAATCCCAGCACTTTAGGAGGCCAAGGTGGGAGGATCACTCGAGCTCAGAAGTTTGAGACCAGTCTGAGCAACATAGCAAGACACAATCTCACAAAAAAAAAATCTAAAAATTAGCTGGGCATGGTGGCACACACCTGTAGTACCAGCTACTGAGGAGGCTGAGGCAGAAGGATCACTTGATCCCAGGAGGTTGAGGTTGTGATGAGCTGTGATCATGCCACTGCACTCCAGCCTGGGCAACAGAGCAAGACCCTACCAAAAAAAATCTTTACCAGCTCTGTGATCTGGGACAATTTATTTGAGTTTTGCAGGCCTCATCCAAAGATTATAATTGGACTTACCGTATTGGTTATGACAACTAAATAAAAAAAATACATGTAAAGTGCTTAGAACAGTTCCTGACATTTAGTAAGAACTTTGTAAGTATTAACTATTATTAGCATCATCATCTTCTTTATTGTCACTATTTTCTGAGTGTTTAATATGTACCAGGCATGTCTAAGCACATATATTACATGCATTATTAGCTCATTGAACTTCACTTTGGTTATTGGGGAAGTGTTTTTAGAGATGGAGTCTCACTGTGTCACCTGGACGGGAGTGCAGCAGTGCTGTCTTAGCTCACTGCAACCTCTGCCTCCCAGGTTCAAGCAATTCTCCTGCTTCAGCCTCCCAAGTAGCTGGGACTACAGGCATGCACCACCACACCCGGCTAATTTTTGTAATTTTAGTAGAGACAGGGTTTCACCATGTTGGCCAGGCTGGTCTTGAACTCCTGACCTCAAGTGATCCACCCACCTTGGCCTCCAAAAGCGCTGGGATTACGGGAAGGAGCCACTGCGCCTGGCTGAACTACACTTTGAAGTAAGGATTAACCCTGTGCTTCAGTTGAGGAAACTAAAAATGGGAGAGTTCAGTAACCTGCACAAAGTTAAACCGGCAAGTAATTGGTGAAGTCAAAATCTAGAATCAAGGGTTTTTTGTTGTTTATTTTTTGTTTTGGGGACAGGGCCTTGCCACATCGCCCAGGCTGGAGCGCAATGGTGCAATCACAGCTCACTTTAGCTTCAACCTCTTCGGCTCAAGCGATCCTCCCACCTCAGCCTCCTGAGTAGCTGGAACCACAGGCCTGCACCACCACACCTGGCTAATTTTTGTATTTTTTGTAGACACAGGGTTTCACTATGTTGTCCTAGCTGGTCTTGAACTCCTGGGTTCAAGTGATCCGCCTGCCTTGGCCTCCCAAAGTGCTGGGATTACAGGCGTGAGTCACCACGTCTGACCTGGAATCGAGTTTTCCTAACTCCGGAGTTATGCTGTTATTGCCCTCTGCTACTGTCAATAGTAACAGCCATATTACTGAGTACTTCCCCCTTGCTGAGTAGGGTGCTGAGCACTTTACATGCCCTATTTCATTTAATGTTCACAATAATCCTATGAGGTAGATTCTCTTGTTATTCCCATTTTACAGATGAGGTAACCAAGGTTCAGAGAAGCTAAGCAGCCTCAGCAAATTTATACAGCAAAGAAAGCCAGCACTTAAATCCAGGCCTGCCTCACTCTAAAGTCTGTTCTATTGAGTTTGACTGCCAAACAGGTGAGCAGGATGCTCCTAGGAGGTTGGTAACAGTGATTGGTGATCCATGACAACTGGGATCCACTGAAACTCAGGGATACACAGTTTGCCTAATCAGCCCTATTTTTTGAGCTATCATTAGGGACAATTTTTCACTTTCTCTGATGCTTCATTTCTCTGCAGCTTCTGAAAGCTGTTGATTTGCTCAGATTAAGACCAGCTTCTGTGCCTTTAGCTTCTCAGATTGTTGTGTACGTGCTCAAGAGTATGGAGAAATCATAAACAGTCCAGAAGGAAGCCCTGGCATACTATCCAAAGTTTTTGCCACATTGCTGTGGGAGGAGTCTGTGTTTCTTGACCAAACCCTTGAGGTTATGTGACTGCAAGATTTCAAATGTGCATTTCAACATCAGGTCATGATGGGGCAACTTGTTTTGTGATGAATAGCACTATAAGAAGAACATATTCTATAGACCAGGGATTCTCAGCCAGGGATGCATGGTGGGGCTTCAGAGGCTCTGGGAACATTCTGTATGTGTGTGTGCATTTTACTCAAGAGAGAGCTCCTAACTTCTATAATATTCTCAGGGAGTTCATGACTCAAAAAAATCATTTAAAAATCATTGTTCTCTGGCCAGGCGCGGTGGCTCATGCCTGTAATCCCAGCACTTTGGGAGGCCGAGATGGGTGGATCACCTGAAACCAGCCTGGCCAAAATGGTGAAACCCTGTCTCTACTAAAAATACAACAATTGGCTGAGTGTCATGGCACATTCCTGTAATCCCAGATACTCGGTGGACTGAGGCAGGAGAATAGCTGGAACCTGGGAGGAGGAGGCTGCAGTGAGCAGAGATCATGCCATTGCACTCCAGCCTGGGTGACCGAGCAAGACCCCATCTCAAAAAAAGAAAGAAAGAAAAAGAAAAAGAAAAAAATAACTATCTTCAGGGCTTCCACCTGCTTTTGCAGAATCAGAGAATGTGATCCATGTAAGGGTTGAGTGGAGGCACAGGGGACAGAAGTGGGAGGGCCAAAGTCTGGAGGGACAATAGCTCACTCTGGAATGTTTTCAAGTTTAGTGGGGACGATTCAGGAAACAAGCTGACTCTGGAAATGACACAGAATTCACAGTGTTATTGTTTCTTTGAAAGGTGGGCGGTTAGTGGTTTTTCCTTAACATTCATTCATATACTTCTAGTAAGTACCATTAAGTTTCATACAGTTTACATATACCTGGTTTCACTGCATCTGGAGAGATTCCGGATAGTTCTTGTTAATGAGAAGTCCTGGGGTGGAGCTACAATGCACCATCCATTGTGAACCCTGATAACTTGGGACAGGTCTCAGTGAATTTAGAAAATTTATTTGGCCAAGGTTGAGGACACACACCCATGACACAGCCTCAGGAGGTTCTGAGGACGTGTGCCTAAGGTCATCAGAGCACAGTTTGGTTTCATACATTCTAGGAACACCGGAGACATCAATCAATGTGTGCAAGATGAACATTGGTTCAGTCTGCAAAGGCGGGACAACTTGAAGCAAAGGCGGGAATTCTCAAAGCAAGGAGGGGACTTTCGGCTCATAGGTAGTTGAGAGACAAATGGGTGCATTCTTTTGAGTTTCTGATTAGCCTCTCCAAAGGAGAAAATTAAATATGCATTTATCTCGGTGAGCAGAGGAGTGACTTTGAATAGAATGGGAGGCAGAATGGCCCTAAGCAGTTCCCATCTTGAGTTTTCCCTTTAGCTTAGTGTTTTGGAAGCCCCAAAATTTATTTTTCTTTTACACAATTTTTAAAACCCAGGTAGAAGTGTCCATTCTTGTTAAAGAAACAAAGGAAGCAAGAAAAGCAAACAATAGGCTGGCTGCGGTGGCTCACGCCTGTAATCTCAGCACTTTGGGAGGCTGAGATGGGTGGATCACCAGAGGTCAGGAGTTTGAAAACAGCCTGGTCAACATGATGAAACCCCATCTCTATTACAAACACAAAATTAGGCAAGTGTGGTGGAGGGCGCCTGTAATCCCAGCTACTCTGGAGGATGAGGCAGGAGAATTACTGGAAGTCGTGAGGAGGAGGTTGCAGTGAGCTGAGATCGTGCCACTGAACTCCAGCCTGGGCAAAAAGAATGAAACTCTGTCTAAATAAATAAAGAGGTAAATAAATAAATACAACTATTTTAATCTGCTTGTTAAAGGTATCTGATAGAATTTTGAATTTCTTTTTGTTATTTTGAATTTCTTTGTTTCCCTAATACAGCTATTTAGAATTCTCTTTCAGAAAAATGACACGTTTCTGTTTCTCCAGGATTGGTCCCTGGTTCCTTTTTTGGTTCATTTGGTTAAGTATTTCTTTTAATGATTTGCTGATGCCAGTAGATCTTTGTGGGTGTCTCGCCATTGAAGATTTTGATATTTATTGTAGTCAACACTGCCTGGACTTGTTTGTAGCCATTGTTCCTGAGAAGGCTTTAGAGATATTTGAAAGGACTTGGGTGTTGTGATCTAAGCTCTTTCTACTTTAGGGGACATCTCAAGCCCAGTAACACTGTGGTTCTTGCAGGCTCACAGAGGTACTACCTTGATGGTCTTGGACAACATGGTCTTGGAGAATTTTCTGAATTATCTAGCAGAGACTCTTCTTTTCTTCTTTTACCTTCTCCCAAACAAATGGAGTCTGTGTGTGTGTGTGCATGTGTGTGTGTGTCCTGAGACACATGAAAATGAAGTGGAGTGACACAAACATCTCTGTGGCCATGACCACTATGACTGCACTGGGTCAGACCTGAATCCAACAGAGTGCTTGATCTCACCCAAGGCCTGACATCACAGCTTCCTGGTTATTGTCTATGTTCACTCAAGATGCTATGGATCTATAATCAGCAGGTGAAAAAGTCAGCCAGGCCTCAATTACTCATGTCAGTTTAGCAAGTTTCTTTAGGCCCTAGGTTGGTTCAGAGGTACTATTCAGGAGTCAGGGCTAAAATAAAAAACTTCACAAAGCTAAGGTTTTGGCAGTGAGAGTTTGGGTGAACAGTGTGGAACAGATCTTTAAAAAGGCAAAAGTTTCTAAATAAAGATTTAAACCTGATGGGAAAAACAATAGAGAAATATACAAAAAATAAATTATGTTTATGGTAATTTTACTTATTTATTTATTTATTTATTTTTTGATATAGGATCTTGCTCTATCACCCTGGCTGGAGCGCAGTGGCATGAGCTCAGCTCACTGCAAGCTCTGCCTCCCAGGTTCAAACGATTCTCCAACCACAGCCTCCCTAGTAGTTGGGACTACAGGTACGTGCCACTATGCCAGGCTAATTCTTTGTATTTTTAGTAGAGATGGGGTTTTGCCATGTTGGCCAGGCTGGTCTTGAACTCTTGACCTCAAGTGGTCCGCCCACCTCGGCCGGCCTCCCAAAGTGCTTGGATGACAGGCATGAGCCACCATGCCCGGACCAATCTTACTTGTTATTTAATTATACCAGCCCTCATTCTGAATAAAGACTAGATGCAGGGATTAATAACTAGTGCTTTGATTTTACCTGTAAAATGTATTTTATTTCTTTCTTGTGGACACCAGTAAATTAAACACTAATAAAAATAGAATACAAGCTGGGCGCGGTGGCTCACACTTTTAATCCCAGCACTTTGGGAGGCCAAGGCAGCTGGATCACAAGGTCATGTGTTTGAGACCAGCTTGGCCAACATACTGAAACTCCGTCTCCACTAAAAATACAAACAAAAATTAGCCAGACATGGTGGTGGGTGCTGGTAATCCCAGCTACTTGGGAGGCTGAGGCAGGAGAATCGCTTCAACCTGGGAGGCAGAGGTAGCAGTGAGCTGAGATCATGCCACTGCACTCCAGCCTGGGCCACAGTGCGAGACTCCTCTCGAAAAAAAAAAATTAATTTAAAAATATATATATACACATAAAATACATGTTGTCAGTCATGTAGTGTGTGTGTATTATCTTTATATATGCCATATATTATATGTATATTATTTATAATATATAGATAAAATATACATTGTATATAGAAACAGACAAAATATACATTACACACTCACACACACACTCACTCACACACGTGTTATGTGGTCTAAGGTGTATTCAACCAGTTCTTAGTGATCACTGAAGAGTAATGATTGAACTTATTTATAAATTTATTAAAATTGTATCAATTTATAAATAAATATAACATTTATTAAACACATAATTAGCAATTTCATTATTAGCTGAAACACCTAATTTGTGTAATAATTATATATTTGATAGACATAGAGTTACTAGGAGCTGAACACATGTTTCTTAAGGTAAATGTATATTCTATGTAAATCCCTCCCAAACGTTGATCCCCAAAGCATGTGCAACTTTTGTAAACACTTTTATGCGCTGCATTAAGTTAAAAATGGATGTCAAGTGTTGTGATAATCGAATACCTTTTTTCTGAATATCAACACCAGGTTTTTACCTGTTTTTCAAATGCACAATTGCCACCCTCTCTTTCCCTGGTATTTTTTAGACCACTGGCAAGGGGTTGCTCAGCTAGCCAAATTGATAGGATTAAATGACTGCTTTTGAGATTCCAGTTTACCACTTACCAGCCATGTGGCTTTGGTTATTTATTTATTCTTTCTAGGCAGCTGCTCACAATGAGACAACACTTTATCCTCCTGTGTAAAACTGGAATAATGAGTCCCTTGATCCTTGAGCTTTCCTAAAGATTAAGTCAACTCACACCTGTAAGCTTCTGCTTAGCACAGTGCTTGGCAGAGAATGTGCCCTTAAGTAGCTGCATGTATTTTCTTCTGTAGATAACAGATAGTAAAGTATTCCAAAGGCATAGCTCAGCTGGAACCTAATAACATTTATGGATACTTCAGACACAGCCTATAAGAAATCACAACTTGTTGAACTTTGTGGAGAGACAGAATAGTGCCAGTCACAGGAGAAATAGGTCAGTGAACTACAGTCCAATCTTTTTTCTCTGCTCCCCGCAGCCTGGTGACTCATACTGTCTGTCCCTTTTTATCATCAGATGAAGCTGAAGGAATTGACTTGCCTAATTCACAGAAGAAATCAGAGAATTTTTAAAAAGAGCCTTGGGGTTGTACTTAGTATCAATTACATATTTATTTCTGTAAATCTAAGAACATCTATTGCCACATAATGCTCATTAAATGTATATTTACAGAACTCTGCCAGGCGCGGTGGCTCACTCCTGTAATCCTAGAACTTTTGGAGGATGAGGAGGGAGATCATTTGTGCTCAGGAGTTCAAGACTAGCCAGGGCAGCATGGGGAAACCCCATCTCTACACAAAATAAAAAATTAGGCGAGTGTGGTGGTGCGCATCCGTAGTCACAGCTACTTCGGAAGATCACTTGATCCCAGGAGATGGAAGTTGCAATAAGCTAAGATGACACCACTGCCCTTCAACCTGGGTGTTAGTGAGATCCTATCTCAAAAATAAAATCAAATCTGTATTTACAGAACTCTTATTGTTATTATGTTCACCCTACAGTTTGTAATTTATGAGTCATGAAGCACATGTAGAATTTGCCCAAATTTTTTTCTCTACTCAGCTTCTTCTGTTTAAACACAGACCATTGTGTTAAGTATTTGTTTGAGGCAAGGGCTAAAGTAGGATGACACTATCCCCTAGGCAGGAGTATGAGGGCACGAGGGGCCAGAAGTGATTCACATGAAAAAGAGGATTTGAGTGGTTGGGAGAATTTTTCTCTCTTGGCTTGTTATACTAAGGTCTGTGATGCCTTACATTTCAAGAGTACCCAGGATTAAGAACTTTTTCCTTTCTACCACTTTGTAATCACTCTTAACCCTACATTTGTCAGCACTTCCAGCCACCCTTACACATGTATCTCCCCGTGCACCCTAGGAGACTACACTGAATAGTGAATTAGATACCTCTATCCAACAGAACTATAAAAGCTTGACTTCCCCCCTCCAAATCTCCAATCTTATGTAGTTTAATACTTAAAATTGCTGAAGTTGGCTATAGATGAAGGAAAAAATTTTGGAGTGCAGCGGGAGTGGGCACCTTCATGTGGGTAAAGAAGAGACTAACAAGACCCATTTAATGTAGCTTTCAGCAGCCTTTTGGCTACTCACAGTTCAACCACATGAACTTCTAGTGGTTTGGACTCACCCAAGCCTCAACATTAGCTTTAAGGACTCCTTGATCCTTTCAGCAGGAGAAAAATGAACATGTGAAGCACTCAGGCTCTTGGTTTTAATCCTCTCATGGATCAGCCTTGTTAGCAGACTGCAAGTGTAGAGCCCTTGTTTCACCACACTAACCACTTGGCTGAGAGAATTTGCTGTTGGTCCTAGGGGAAATTCACATATCCCTTGCAAGCTCTTCAAGTATTTGTATCTTTCCCCCTTTCAGAAAGTTGTGTTTATCGCAGCATCCCACTCTCATCACCAAAACTAAATCACTGTGAAGGATCTTAGATTTTATCCTATTTGTAAACTAACCTATTAATCTTCCAGTGTCATGGATGCTGGTAGAAGGCGTAAGACACCGAAGTATGACAAAAATACTTACGATTGACTGCAGAACTGGAGGCAAAAGCTTTATGTTTGTATTAGTTCTCCTTGTCCACACTACATTTTTTAGAGGGATTTCAAAAGGCTCAGATGGACATTGCACATGGGGAAGATCGGTGTCACAGCTGAGCAACTTCAAGATTAGGAAACCTCAGTCTTTTTAAAGTAGGCTACATGCAAACCTGTAGAGCATTTGCCTCACAGAGAAAAATTGTCTTTTTTATATTGGTTGAGTAATTTATCTGCCATTCATCTGAAGAGAAAAATTACTGCCCTTCCCCCAGGATATTTCTGTACAAAAATCTTTGAAAAATCCTTATGCAGAGTAGGGGGAGATGGAAGAACTAAGGGAGAGAAAATGGCAGCTTTGCCTCCTCCCTTGCCCAGTGCTAAGGTCCCCAGGGCAAGCAGCTTTTGCCTTCAACTTCAAGTTAACAGCATACAAAATATATTCATTTTTACTTCCCCCACTTTCTTATTAACGTTACAAATTATATCTCTCTATATTGTGTGTATTTTCACAGAGATTTAAGAATTTTATGCACCGTTATTATTACAATAGCAAATTTTATATCTGTGTATATATTTACATTTAACAGAGAGCTTTATATTTTCATACGGTTTTATGATGCTTTCCAGCATCATTTAATGTTTCAACATAGTTGACTCACTTTAGCATTTTTTTCTAATGTTATTCTAGTAGTAAACAACCTTAGATTTTTTATTTTAATCTTTGAAAGTCTTTATTTTTTCTAATTTTTGAAGTACGTTTTTTCCCAGATCAATTATTCTTGGTTGCTAGTATGTTTTGTTTCATCACTGAAGTGTGTAAAGTTCTCAGCATCCCCTCTTTTTCCCCCAAATAACATTTATGCCATTTTCTTCGTATATTCTTTTTATAAGACTCTTTCTCTGAATATATTGATCTACTTGATGGTGTCCAGTAAGTCTCATATTTTGCCCTTATTTTTCTCATTCTTTTCAAAAATTAGTTTCCAGGCCTAAATATTTGTGAATAATATATGCTTAATTTGCTGACTCTTTTTTTGCTCCATTGTTTGCTGTTGTGGCTCCATAGTGAATTTTTAAACCTCAATTATTGTATCCTTCAACTCCACAATTTCTGTTGGGTTTTTAGAAAAAGGTTTCATCTCTTTGTTGATATCACATTTTGGTCATTTATTATTTTAAATGTTATTCAATTGTCTATTTTTGTTTTATTTTTGTTCACTGAGAACGCTTAAGTTAATTATTTTGAATTCTTCATCAGATATGCAAAAATCTTCATTTCTTAAGATTCAACTTCTGGATATTTATTCTGTTTCTTCCAGTGAAGCATATTTTCCACCTTCTCCGTATGCCTTGTAATTTTTTTATAAGATCTGGAAATTTATACAACATCCATCAAATCTAGCATTTAAAGACTGGCACGGCTGGGCGCAGTAGCTCATGCCTGTAATTCCAGCATTTTGGGAGGCCAAGATGGGCAGATTACTGGAGGCCAGGTGTTTGAGACCAGCCTGGCTAACATGGCGAAACCCCGTCTCTACTGAAAATACAAAAAATTAGCCTGGCGTTGTGGTGCGCGCCTGTCGTCCCAGCCACTCAGGAGACTGAGGCGAGAGAATCGCTTGAACCCAGGAGATGGAGGTTGCAGTGAGCTGAGATTGTGCTACTGCACTCCAGCATGGGTGACAGAGCAAAACTCTGTCTCAAAACAAACAAACAAACAAACAAACAAACAAAAAAAAACAAAACCAAAAACTGGCTTAGTAAAGGGGGATACTGAAAGCAATCAGAAAGGCTATAGATTCTAGGTGCTTCACAGACCCATTCTCAGATATGTCTTCTCTGGATTTGTGTGTATTTCTAAGATAAAGAGATTTAGTTTCATTGTTTTTAGATTGATTACCTATTTTCTTCCTCAGTTGACTGTCTGTGGTGTTGCAGTTTCTCTAGTGCTGTAACTAGCATTCATCTTTTTTCTCATCAGACACAATTGTCATCCGTATGACCCCATCATGTCCTTCAGCACTCCATGTCAGGAGAGAGAGAATCTAGTCATAAGGCAATCTCTCAAAAAGACAAACATTCCAACACATACTCTACAGTTTTAATTCTTTCCTGAGGAAGATGCTGGGAGTTGGGCATTTTCTGGTGAGCCCAATTACTGTTGGGGGGAAGGAAAAAAAAACTGTGGTGGACAGTCTGTAGCAAAGACAAAATTCCTGGAGTGTGAAAAGAGGAGACAACTGCCATATACAAAGCAAAGTGAAAATAAATGAGCAGGTAACACATGGGAGAGGTCCAAAGTCACAGAGAAGGCCAGAGTTTAAATGTGGTTTGGTCATCTCTGCTCCAATGGAAATTGTTTTGGAAAAGACTAGTTTTATTTTTCTTGCTGTCACAGAGAAACATTTTCCTGTCCCATGCTTACTATGCTCTTCAATCTTCTACGGCTTCTTTTCTCCATCCCAGAATCTTCCAGTGCATTCACACTGAAAACCAAAGTCCTACCAGAATCTTTAAGAACGTACATGATCTGACTAGTTTTCATTACTTTTGGGAATATACTGAAATCTGTGCACATTTCTGGAGAACTCTGTGTTATGCCATTTCTATTTTTTTCTGTTTTTTTTTTTTTTTTTTTGAGATGGAGTCTCACACTGTCGCCCAGGCTGGAGTGCAGTGGCACGATGTCGGCTCACTGCAAGTTCTGCCTCCCGGGTTCACGCCATTCTCCTACCTCAGCCTCCCAAGTAGCTGGGACTACAGGCGCCCACCACCACCCCCGGCTAATTTCTTTTTTTGTATTTTTGGTAGAGACGGTGTTTCACTGAGTTAGCCAGGATGGTCTTGATCTCCTGACCTCGTGATCCACCCACCTCAGCCTCCCAAAGTGCTGGGATTACAGGGGTGAGCCACCGTGCCTGGCCTATTATGCCATTTTTAAAAATAAATCTACGGTGCTTCAAGTCAGAAGTGTGTGAGGGGAGTTGTGGAGGGATTGGGAGGCATTGGGATTTGGTTTAGAAATTCCAGGCAGAGTAGTGCAAAGGGCTTGTGAGCAAGGCACTCGGAGACGTCGCGGCAAGCCATCGTTGCTTCCGAACATCCTGCTCACCGGTACACCAGGGGTTGGAAAAACCACACTAGACAAAGAACCTGCATCAATATCAGGACTGGAATACATGAATGTGGGTGATTTATCTTGAGAAGAGAAATTGTATGATGGCTATGATGAAGAGTATGATTGCCCCATTTTAGAAGAAGACAGAGTAGTTGATGAGTTAGATAACAAACGGGAGAAGATGGAGTTATTGTTGATTACCACGGTTGTGATTTCTTCCCTAAATACTTTTTTCATATAGTTTTTATGCTGAGAACAGATACCACTGTATTGTACAAAAGACTTGAAACAAGGGGTTATAATTGGAAGACTCTAACAGACAATATTCAGCGTGAGATTTTTCAAGTTCTCTATGAAGAAGCCACAACATCCCACAAGGAAGAAATCGTGCATCAGCTGCCCAGCAATAAACCAGAAGAGCTAGAAAATAATGTAGATCAGACTGGCTGGGCGCGATGGCTCACGCCTGTAATCCCAGCACTTTGGGAGGCCGAGGCGGGTGGATCACCAGGTCAAGGGATCAAGACCATCCTGGCTAACACGGTGAAACCCCGTCTCTACTAAAAATACAAAAAACCAGGAGGCGGAGCTTGCAGTGAGCCGAGATCAAGCCACTGCACTCCAGCCTGGGCCACAGAGTGAGACTCCTTCTCAAAAAAAAAAAAAAAAAAAAAAAAAAAGAAAGAAAGAAAAGAATGTAGATCAGATCTTGAAATGGATTGAGCAGTGGATCAAAGATCATAACTCTTGACCTATAAGGCCAGCTACTTTATAATCACTCTTGTTGATATCACTCTGCCGACATCATAGAAATTGTTCAAGTATATCAGTAACACTTTATTAAAATCATGTTGCAGGACTAGCAGGTGGATAGTATATAGGTTTATGCCTGTGTTTCTTTTTCTCCATGAGAAACCTAAACATCTGAAATATAATGAATATAATATTATTAAGGATTGAGACAAAAACTGTAATTTTAATACTTAAATTGCTAAAGAATAAATAAATCTGACAAAATGGGTGGGTATCTTTTAAGTTTATTACAGAAAAAAATGCAGATGATCTCTTAAAATAAAACTAAAGACTAAAGAGAAAGCATCAGAGTATTCTTTTTTCTTTCTTTAAATTAGGAAATACGAGAAGTGTTGTACTCTATACAAAATTCAAAAGGTACAAAAGAGCATGTTGAAAAGTTAGATCTCCCTTCCATACCACCATATCCCCAGGCACTCCAGGATCCTTCACTTTAGGAAATAATGGAATTTGTTTCCCATATGTCTTTTCAGCGGTTTTATGCCTGGACAGTGTATATGTATGTGTGTACATTTTTTAAAGAATATAGTAGTATATTGCACACAATATTCTGTACCTTTCTTTTTTTACTTAATATATTTGGAGATTATATCATCTCAGTACAGACCTCCCTGTTCTTTTATTTTTTAGGTGAGATATACATACCACACAATAAAAGTTACAATTTTGAAGTGTATAGTCATCAGAACTGGGTATGGTGGCTTATGCCTGTAATCCCAGGAGCTGAGGAGACTGAGGTGGAGAATTGCTTGAGGCAGGAATTCAAGAACAGCCTGGGCAACATTGTGAGATCTTAGACTCTAAAAATAAACATAAATAAAATTTATAATCCATTGGTTTTTAGCTTATTAACAAGGTATGACTGTCACCACTGTGGGGGAAGCAGTGATGATAAAGGGAAATCCTATACCTTTTAGCAGTCACTCTTTATTCTTTCCTCCTCCTCCCTTTGCAGTCACTAGTCTACTTTCTGTCTCTATGGATTTGCATATTCTGGATATTTCATATAAATGGGATTATACAATAAAAAAGAAAAAAATTCCAGGAACACCAGAGACAGATGACACATGTTTTCTGCTTAATAATTTCACATCCTATGAAGGATAATTCTACAACATAATTCTACAAAAAAATTTGACTGAAAAACTTTATGCCTAATCTTAAACATTTAAACTCTATATGCCAACAGTCTCTACTGTAGGGTGATTTATTGTATGTACTCATTTTATGGATTCCTTAAAAAGCTTTTCCAATAAGGGAAATTAGAATATTGCTGAACATATATTGAATTCCCAATTATTAACTTATTTCTCAATTATTTTGTGATTCTGTCTTCTTTAACATGAAGATTACCATGACTGTGTTTTCATTTTCTGAATTGTCATATGTCTGTAATTTGTCTGTAATCTTAGTTTCAGAAGTTCTACAATAACATGCTCAAGGCCTGGCACGGTGGCTCACGCATGAAATCCCAGCACTTTGGGAGGCATAGGCGGGTGGACCACGAGGTCAGGAGTTTGAGACCAGCCTGGCCAACATAATGAAACCCCAACTCTACTAAAAGTAAAAAAAAAATTAGCCGGGCGTGGTGGCATGTGCCTGTAATCAGAGCTACTCGGGAGGCTGAGGAAAGAGAATTGCTTGAACCTGTGAGGCGGAGGTTGCAGTGAGCCAAGATCATGCCACTGCACACCAACCAGCCTGGGCAAAAGAGCAAGACTCCATCTCAAAATAAATAAATAAATAAATAAATAAATTAATTAATTAATTAAATAAAATAACATGCTCAAATGTATGTGTTATATATAAATTATATCATTTATTAAAATATTTGTTTTGTATGTTTCATCTACTTTAGGCACAATGTTATTATTAGCATTTCCTTCCAGTTTCCTCAACTTTTACCTGAATAATAGTACAACTTATAACCAATTTTATTTTATATATCAATGTTTTATACTGTATTTAC
Organism: Homo sapiens; assembly: GCF_000001405.40. Taxonomy (NCBI): domain Eukaryota; kingdom Metazoa; phylum Chordata; class Mammalia; order Primates; family Hominidae; genus Homo; species Homo sapiens. The sequence continues at coordinate 34,252,297 of NC_000012.12, forward strand.
AATATATATATAGTTATTGTATTTAGAAATGGAAGACTTTTCTTCTAAAGGCTAGATTACAGCCTTACCATTTTGTAAGAAAAGCAGCAATGGGCTGGGCATGAAGGCTCAAGCCTGTAATCCCAGCTCTTTGAGAGGCCGAGGTGGGCGCATCACCTGAGGTTGGAAGTCTGAGCCCAGCCTGACCAACATGAAGAAACCCTATCTCTACTAAAAATACAAAATTAGCTGGGCATGGTGGCTCATGCCTGTAATCCCAGCTACTCAGGAGGCTGAGACAGGAGAATAGCTTGAACCCAGGAGGCAGAAGTTGCGGTGAACCGAGATTGCACCATTGCACTCCAGCCTGGGCAACAAGAGTGAAACTCTGTCTGAAAAAAAAAATAGAAAAAAAAAAAAAGAAAGAAAAGAAAAAAAGAAAAGCAGAAATGTTTCAATGTATCAGTAGCATAATTTAAAAGTTTCTCTAGTATTACTGAAATGCTTTTTTTAAAAACTTTCTCATCAAAGCTGTTTATGAATAATTATAATGTGTTTTCTTTGAAATGTTGCCGTAATTGTATCCAAATGATTCAAAATTCATGCTTTTCGTGGATGCACAGTTACAGTTCAAAATTGTAGTTATCTAGAATTCTTTTCTATGTTTATTCAGGATTTTATGGGTTAAAGTTTCTCTTCCTTATGTTTTGTATTTTATATTTCTGTATTTTTTTAGAGTAGGCTGCCTCACATCAGTTGTGTTTCTAGTTTCTACCTATTTATTATGGTTTTGAATTACATTATTCAAATCAGAATTTTGGGAGTTAATGTTAATTTTAACTTTGCAATTTTGCATTTCTGTGTTTCATTATTTTAGGGTAGGCCACCTTACGTTAGTTTACTGTTTTTAGTTTTAATTTATATATTATAATTTTGTATGACAGTATTCAACTCTGTACACCTTAAGACAGTGTGGGGCAAAAGTCAACTGTGAATCAGCCCTACATCCTTTGTCAATATAATTATCTAAGTGTTTGTTTGCTTGTATAAATATTACCACTATTTTGTTTATTATTTGTATATTTTTCTTCTTGGTTCGAGGCCAGTAATTTATTCTGTCTAGGTGAGTAGTCATGGAAATTGTCCTGATTTCAACATCTTTATCTTATATTATCTTAGTGTGAAAGAAAGCATTTTGTGGTTTGAAGGTAATTTTTCAGAAAGTTTATAACTCTATCTCTGTTGGGTGTCTTATTTTATTATTATTATTTTTTAAGACAGAGTCTTGCTCTGTCGCCCAAAGGGCAGTGGCATAATCTCAACTCACTGCAACCTCCACCTCCCAGGTTAAAGCAATTCTCCTGCTTCAGCCTCCTGAGTAGCTGGGATTAAAGACATGTACCACCAGGCCTGGCTAATTTGTATGTTTTTAGTAGCGATGGGGCCAGGCTGGTCTTGAATTCTTAACCTCAAGTGATCTGCACGCCTCGGCCTCCCAGAGTACCGGGATTACAGGCCTGAGCCACTGCACCCTGCCCTCAGATGTCATTTTTAATTTTAATTGTGGTAAAAGTACATAACATAGAGTGAGAATCTTAAATATTTTTTCTTGTACAGTTTAGTCATGTTAAGTGTATTTACATTGTTATGCAACATATCTGTAAAACTTTTTTCTGTTGCAAAACTAAAACTCAGTACACATGAAATAAATTAATAATACCCATGTTTTATTGTGGCTAAGTTTACTTAGCATCATGTGCTCAGGGTTTATCTTTATTGTGGATGTTACAAGATTTTCTGCTTTTAAAAGCTGAGTAGTTTTCCACTACTTTAATATTACAAATTGTATTTATTCATTCATTCAGTGAGGAAAGTTGGTTTTGCTTTCAAATATTGGCCTTTGTGAATAATGCTTCAGTGAATATAGGTGTTCCAATAACTATTTGCCCATATGTGCAAGGTTTGCGTCTGTGCTACATTGTGTTTTATTGGAAAACTTGTCTGTCTTTATGCCAGAACCAAATGTTTTTATTACTGTGGCTTTGTAATGTGCTTTGAAATCAGAAAAGGTGAGGTCACTAACATTATTTCTTTTGTTAAACATTTTTTGGCTCTTTATTGCCCCTTGAGATTCCATATAATTTGTTGGTTGCTTTTTCTATTTCTAAAAAAAAAAAAAAAAAATTGTTAATTGAAAAGCGATTGCATTGAATCTGTAGCTCACTAGGAAGTATGAACATCTTCACAATATTAAGTCTTACAACCCTTGAACATGAGCATGCTCAAAAGTGTGTTGTTTAATTTCCATATATGTTGACATTTTTGTTTTCTTCTGTTATTGATTTCTAGTTTTATTCCATTTTGATCAGAAATAATAGTCTTTAAGATTTCTATTTTTAAAAAATTGTTAAGTCTTGTTTTGTGGCCTAATAGGTGGTGTATCTAGGAGAATGTTTTATGAGCTGTTGAGAAAATTGTGTGTTTTGCTGTTGCTGTGTATTCTGTATATTCCCATTAGGTCTAATTTTTCTCTAGTGTTTTCAAAACTTCTGTTTTCTTATTAACATTTAGGCTAGCTTTATTAATTATTATTAAAAGTTTGAATTAAAGTATTCTATTATTATTTGTCTGTCTATTGTAATAATTATTTCAATGTTTGCTTTATACATTTGGAAACACTGGTGTGAGAATTATATATATATATACACACACACACATATATAAAATAAAATTATATAAGTTCTCAGTGAATGAGCCCTTTTATTATTATGTAATATCCTTCTTTGTCTCCTGTGACAGTTTAGACCTAAAGTTTATTTTTATTTATTTATTTATTTATTTATTTATTTATTTATTTATTTATTTATTTTTTGAGAAGGAGTCTCACTCTGTCTCCCAGGCTGGAGTGCAGTGGCGCGATCTCGGCTCACAGCAAGCTCCACCTCCCGGGTTCACGCCATTCTCCTGCCTCAGCCTCCTGAGTAGCTGGGACTATAGGCGCCTGCCACCACGCCCGACTAACTTTTTGTATTTTTAGTAGAGACAGGGTTTCACCATGTTAGCCAGGATGTTCTCCATCTCCTGACCTCGTGATCCGCCTGACTCAGCCTCCCAAGTGCTGGGATTACAGGCGTAAGCCACCGTGCCCGGCAGACTTAAAGTTTATTTTATGAACCATGACTAAAATGTATTTTCCCTAACAAAGTTGTGACCAGCACTGCTCCATTCGATTTCCATTTACATCAAAAGTCTATTTTCGTCTTGCTACTTTCAGTCTATTTTTGACATTAGATCTAAAGTGAGTCACTTATGGAGAGGATAAAGTTGGGTTTTGTTTTATTAATCCCTGAATTCAATTTACATGTTTTGATTGAAAAGTTTAGTCCATACACATTAAAATATGTTTTTGAAAGTGAAGAGCTTACTTTTGTCATTGTTTTCTCTGATTTTTATAGCTATGTTTTCCCCTTTACCCACTCCTTTTACTCTTCCCTTTTGTCTTGAATTTTTTTTTTTTTTTTTTTTGTGAGACGGAGTCTTGCTCTGTCGCCCAGGCTGGAGTACAGTGGCGTGACCTTGGCTCACTGCAAGCTCCACCTCCCAGGTTCATGCCATTCTCCTGTCTCACCCTCCCGAGTAGCTGGGACTACGGGCACTCGCCACCATGCCCGGATAATTTTTTTGTATTTTTAGTAGAGACGAAGTTTCACCGTGTTAGCCAGGATGGTCTTGATCTCCTGACCTTGTGATCCACCCACCTCGGCCTCCCAAAGTGTTGGGATTACAGGCGTGAGCCACGGCGCCCGGCCTTGATTTTTGTAGTGACATACTTTAATGTATTTGTGTGTGTGTGTGTCTCTAAATATTTTCCTTGTGGTTACCATAGGGATTACATAAAACCTTTTTTTTTTTTTTTTTGAGACAGAGTCTGACATTGTCGCTCAGGCTGGAGTGCAGTGGTGCGATCTCAGCTCACTGCAACTTCTGCCTCCTGAGTTCAAATGATTCTTCTGCCTCAGCCTCCCCAGGAGCTGGGATTACAAGTGCCCACCACGCCCGTCTGATTTTTGGTATTTTTAGTAGAGATGGGCAAGGTGTTCACCATGTTGGCCAGGCTGGTCTCAAACTCCTGATGTCGTGATTCGCCCACCTCGGATTCCCAAAGTGCTGGAATTATAGGCGTGAGCCACCGCACCTGGCCCATAAAACCTCTTAAAGTTACAATATATTTTAAATTGGTAACAACTTAACTTTTTTTTTTTTTTAATCGGAGTCTCTGTTCCCAGGCTGAGTGCAATGGTGTGATCTCGGCTCACTGCAACCTCCGCCTCCCGGGTTCAAGTGATTCCCCTCTCTCAGTTTCCTGAGTAGCTGGGATTACAGTCACCTGCCACCACTCCCAGCTATTTTTTTGTATTTTTAATAGAGAAGGGGTTTCAATATGTTGGCCAGGTTGGTCTCAAACTCCTGACCTCAGGTGATCCACCTGCCTCCACCTCTCAAAGTGCTGTGATTACAGGTGTGAGCTACCATGCCCAGCCAGTAAAACTTCACTTTAGTTGCATACAAACATTCTTTCTCTTTCCATCTGCCTCAACTTTATATTATTGATGTCACTAATATCTTTTTATATTATATATCATTAACAAATGTTTTTGAATATTTTTCAGTTTTTGTTTTTTAATTATATAACATAATTACATGTTTTATGAACCATCATTTGAATTTATCAGAATTTTATTTTTGTGCCTGTATATGTCTTTTCCAGAGAGTTACATACTTTCATGTAATTTTGCGATACTGTTTAGCATCACTTTATTTTTCATGAAAAAAACTCTCTTTAGCATTTCTTGTAGTGCAGGCCTAGCGGTGATAAGCTATTGTAGTATGTGGTCATCATGAAAGAACTTTAGTTTTTCTTCCTCTTGATAAATAGTTTATCTGGATATAGTATTCTTGCTTAAAAGTTTCTGTTCTTTCAGCATATTGACTATATTACCCATGTCCCTTGTGGCCGGCAAGATTCCTGCAGCTAGATGCACTGGTTATCTCATAGAAGCACCCTTATAAATGATACATAGCTTTTCTTTTTTGGCTTTCAAGATTATCTACTAGTCGGTGACTTTCAAAACTTTGCTTATAATTTTTCTTATTATGAATCTTTTTCTGTTTATCCTGGTTAAAATTTGTTGAACATTTTAATTTTTATGGTTTTTTCTTAAGCTTCATAATTTCTCAGGCATTGTTTCTTTTTATATTCTTCAACTCCATAATTTGCTTTTCAATATTTTTTATCTTATTGTGTATGTTCTCATTTTCCTGATTTTATTTAGTTGTCTGTGCTCACATTTTGCTCATGGAGCACCATTTAGATAATGATTTTTAAAATTTTTAGGTAATTTATACATCTCTATTTCTTTAGGTTAGATTTCTGGATATTTATCTTGTTTTTCTTATTGGGCTACATTACCCTCATACTTTGTATATATTGTATTTTTTGGCTGATTATATTATATTACATTATATATGTCCATTAAACTTGAGCATTTAAAAAAATCACTGGTCACAGTTTTCACATAGTGGCTTTGTCCAGAGAGAGTCTGATGCAAACTGGTTGGCCTACAAATTCTGAATGTTTCTCAAACCTTTTCTCAGGATTCATTTTCTTTTATTACCTTTGGTATCAGCCAAACCAATCTGTCATTCAAAGTACACCACCATGTCTTTGAGCATTCTGAAGCCAGGAGTTGGGAGTCCTCTCCCAGATGCACCATGCTGTATTGGGAAGGAGAAAGAACTGTGGTGTGTAAATGTAACAAACATTCCTTTTTTTTTTTTTTTGAGATGCAGTTTCATTCTTGTTGCCCAGGCTGGAGTGCAATGGCGTGATCTCGGCTCACTGCAACCTCTGCTTCCAAGGTTCAAGCGATTCTCCTGCCTTGGCCTCCTGAGTAGCTGGGATTGCAGGCATGTGCCACCACGCCCAACTAATTTTGCATTTTTAGTAGAAACGGGGTTTCTCCGTGTTGTTCAGGCTGGGCTCAAACTCCCGACCTCAAGTGATCTGCCCGCCTTGGCCTCCCAAAATGCTGGGATGAGAAGCATGAGCTACTGCACCCGGCCACAAACATTCCTTCCTGTGAATGTGGAGGACATGCATGTCCCTGAAAAAAAAAGTTTTAGACTTAAAAAAAAATTCGATATGGGGTTGAGGGTAATCTAACCACTAATACCTACAAGAAATCCTCATGGAATTTTGTCATCTGTGAAGCAACAGCACCCGCCCATATTAGTAGCCTGTATAAAGTATATTTTCCCACTGAGTTCTCCAAAAAAGTCCTCAGTGTAGAGATGAGTAAACACAGGCTTCACAATTTCAAATGGCTGCTGAACAGCACGTGGGTCAGAACTAAGAAACTTTCACAGAGAGGGCTGCATGAAATTCCCTCTAAATTACCTGAAACACAGCGGCTTCTGACATTGAGTGCAAAAACCTGGAGAAGCCTTATTTCCTCTCCATTTTGGAGACAGTGAACAGGGCAAGACAGCTTAGAAGAACCCTTTTGAATTAAAGCAATATACTGTTTTTCTTTCTTTAATATTAAGGAAAGTCTTAAGAAACTGACACAACATTTTCAGACCTGGTAAGAAGACAAATGCTGGGAGACTCCAGGATTAATGACAGAGCCAAAGATCTAAGGAGGTAACTTGAGGAACAGAAAACCCAAATCCATATTTAAAATAACAACTAAAAAGTGACTCAAACATATCAGTTGGAAAACGGGAAATAAAAGGACCAGTGTGTTTTTATTGGCCCCACAGACATGAGATTGTCAAAAAATTAAAAGAATGTTAACATCCAGGAGAGGCTGGGTCTAGAGAAGCAGCTATATTCAGGGACTGTTCTTGCAACAGACCTTGTGGAAAGTCACCTGGCTGTAGCTATAAAAATTTTACATATGTATATCCTTTCACCCAGTAATCACTTTCCTGGCAATCTACATTAATGCATATTATGTTCTAAATTGTGTCACTTCTCTCAAATTTATATGTTGATATTCTAATATTTATATGTTGACATTCTAAGGCATATATAATGTAATCAGCCTCAAAGTGTGAGTGAGTGTTTGGACATATGGTTTTTAAAGAGGTGACTGTGATTAAGTAAGTTCAGTAAAGTGGACCCTAATCTAATATGACTGGAGTCCTTTTAAAAAGAGTAAAGACACAGAAGCTGTGAAAACAGAAATAGAAGGTGGTCAACTAATCTCAAGTAGTAAGAGGCATTAGAGAAACAGCTTCAGCCAATAGCTTGATGTTCAACTTCTAGCCTCCAGAATTATGAGAAACTCAGTTTCCATTGAGATCTTCAGTCCACAGAACTGGGTTACGGAAGCCCAAGCAAACTGTTACAGCCAATCATGACACACAGATAATGTTCTCTGCATTAGAGCTAAAATGAAAATAGAATGTTATCATGGCAGCATTGAAAGGCTCCACCAGCATTGAAAGGCTAAACCACTCTGGGAAATGATCTCCTTTTGTAGAACATTACAAAGACGTTTGAAGGCACAGCTTCTGCCCTGATGGGCTACAGGGATGAGTTCTCTGAGATGACGCATTGCAGACAAATGCAGGGAACAATGTAATCTTTTTTATGTAACCTCTTTCCTATTTTTGTGTAAAAACCTCCCTAGTAATAGTGGTGGCTTTTAAGTCTCAGAGAAGGTCTGGCAGTACAGTGAAGCTTCCTACTACAGAAGATATCTTGGGTAAATAGTTAAAACAATACAAACTGTAGCAACATGAATAAATACAGCCTACTGTAAAGTAAAAACAACACAAAGGCCTTCCCTGGTATTTCTACAGGTACGTAAACAGGGACTTTACACCTAACCAAGTTGCCATTGGGATTAATGAAGGCCAGATTTTTGGCGGCAGAACTTTGGGTCACTCAGAGACAAAGGCTCTAAGAGAGAGCCCAGAGAGAGTCCATATTTGGGTCTGGGTTTTGGGCCCATCCTGGCCTTGTCAGGCCCCTGTCTGCAGAGACTCACATGTGTCTGCTGTCACCATAGCTCACTGTGGGCCATGCTTGGTGGTATAGTTATCCTACCCCTTGTCCAAGGAGATGGGGAGTTGAACCCATCAAACAGCTGCTCATTGATTTTAATGCAGCTCTGTAAAGAGAATGCTCAGCACCCAAGCCAAGCCCCCCGCAAAAAAAAAATAGTTAATCGTCTCCCTTGTTTTCGCCACAAGGTGACATCCCCATTAGAAATTCTGCTCCCCAGATCAGACACGTAGGAGCATCTGCATAGACCCCCAGCCCGTGAGGAAAGCAGAGGACAGCCTTGGGATTTACATCTGAATAGACACACTTTGTCCCCAACACTCAACTTTTTATTCAACCAGCCATGACCTGGGTGTGAACATGACAGGCCCACCAGAGTTCCAGCACCTGACAACCTGCCCCTGTCAGGGATAGCCCCCTTCTTTCCTGCTCCCCCTGCAACAAATGGTTATGGTGGGCCAGGTGGGGTTTCCCAGATTAGATGACAAGAGAGACCTGGCATGGTCAGACCTGCCCTGGGCTACACTGTGTTACCTGTGGGTGCCTCTTGCCAAACGGACAGAGGCATCAGTGATGAGGGCTGAGCCAATGTCTATATTATTAGGCCACTTTGGACCTTTCTAAGGCAAAAGCTTAGGAATGTCACCATAAGAACATAGTGTTCTCTTAAGCATCTCCCATGAAATGAGCCAGGTACAAGGCTGTCTCTAGAATGTGGGTGTCTGGTTTTCAAAGCTCTAAATTTTGTCAGGTACTGTCACAAGAGAAGTGTGTTAATTCTTCAAGGTTCCATCATCCTCTGATCCCTTTTCTTCCATAAATGTATGCAAAGGCCCGGCACAGCTGCTGATTACTCATCCTCCTCTCCCATGTCAACTCTTCACCTGTAAACAATTATACAAACGCAAGCCCCTTGCCCCCTGAAAACATCTAAATGCAGCCAGGGCTCCAGGTTTGAGGGAACAGAGCTGG